>NC_000009.12:60518558-60688432 GCF_000001405.40 Homo sapiens
GAATTCTATATGAGGGAGAAAAACTCAGAACCTAGCAGCAGTGTTCTGGAATCCTATGGGACGGACATACATGTAGACCCCACCAGCATGTTCTGGGATCCTATGTGAGGGACAAACTTTCAGACCTCGTAGCAGTGTTCTGGGATCCTATGTGAGAAACAAACACTCTGAATCCAGCAGCAGTGTTTTGCAAACCTATATGTGGGAGAAGCATTCAGACCACAGCAGGACTGTTCTGGAATCTGATGTGAGGCACAAGCCCTCAGAACACAACAGGAGTGTTTTGGAGTCCTATGTGAGGGACAAACTTTCAGATCCTTGTAGCAGTGTTCTGGTGTCCTATGTGAGGGGCAAAGATTCAGACAATCGTTGCAGGGTTCTGGAATCCTATGTGAGGGACAAATATTCAGACCCTCATAGCAGTGCTCGGGAATCCTATGTGAGGGACAAAATTTCGGACACCAGCAGGAGTGTTCTGGAATCCTATGTTAGGAACAAACACTGAGACAGTAGTACCAGTGTTCTGGAATCCTATGTGAGGGATAAAAATTCAGACTATCAACATTATTCTGGAATGATATGTGAGGGACAAACATTCAGACCCCCGAAGCAGTGTTCAGGAATCCTGTGTGAGGGACAATCACTCAGAAACCAGCAGCAGTGTTCTGGAATCCTATGTGAGGGACAAACATTCTGACATCAGCAGGACTGTTCTGGAATCCAATGTGAGGGAGAAACACTCAGAACACAGCAGGAGTGTTTAGGAATCCTATGTGAGGGAGAAACATTCAGACAATCGTAGCAGTGTTCTGGAATCCTGTGACAGACAAACATTCCAACCCTCGTAGCAGTGTTCAGGAATCCTAAGTGAGGGAAAAACGTTGAGACAATCATACCAGAGTTTTGGAATCCTCTGTCAGGAACAAACATTCAGAACCCAGCAACAGTGTTCTGCAATACTATGTGAGGGACAAACATTCAAACAGCGGTGGGAGTGTTCTGGAATCCTATGTTACAGACAAACATTCAGACCCTTGTCACAGTGTTCTGGAATTCTATGTAAGGGAGAAATACTCATAACCCAGCAGCAGTGTTCTGTAATCTTATGTGACGGACATACATCTAGACCCCAGCAGCAGTGCTCAGGAATGCTATGTGAGGGAAAAACCTACAGACCTCAGCAGCAGTGTTCTGGAATCCTATGTGAGGGACAATCATTCAGACCCTCATAGCAGTGTTCCGGAATTCTGTGTGAGGGACAAACATTCAGACGCTCATAGTAGAATTGTGGAATCCTGTGTGATTAATAAATATTCAGACCACAGCAGGGTTGTTCTGGAATCACCTGTGAGGAACAAACATTTAGACTCTCATAGCAGTGTTCTGGAATCCTGTGTGACAGACAAACATTTAGCTCCCAGCAGCAGTGTCTGGAATCCTATGTGAGGGACAAACATTCAGGCCCTCGTAGTGGTGTTCTGGAAACATAATTGAGGGACAAACAGTCAGACCACAGCAAAAGTGCTCTGGAATCCTACGTGAGGGACAAACATTCAGATTATCATAGCAGTGTTCTGGAATCCTTTGTGACGGACAAACATTCAGACTCTCGTAACAGTGTTCTGGAATCCTATGTGACGGAGAAACATTCAGAGAATCATAGCAGTGTTCTGGAATCCTATGTGAGGGAAAAATATTCAGATAATTGTAGCAGTGTTCCAGAATCGTATGTGAGAGAAAAACATTCAGAACTTCATAGCAGTGCTCTGGAATCCTATGTGAGGGAGGAACATTAAGACTATCGCAACAGTATTGTGGAATGATATGTGAGGGACAAACATTCAGACCCCAGCAGCAGTTTTCTGGAATCCTATGAAAGGGACAACATTCAAACAACAGCAAGGGTGTTCATGAATCCTATGTTCGGACAAACATTCCGGCCTTCATCCCAGTGTTCTGAAATTCTATGTGAGGGAGAAACACTCAGAACACAGCAGCCATGCTCTAGAACCCTATGTGACGGACATACATGTAGACCCCAGCAGCAGTGTTCAGTAACACTATGTGAGGGACAAACATTCAGATGCCAGAAGCAGTGTTCTGGAATCCTATGTGAGGGAAAATCATTCAAACCCATGTAGCAGTGATCTAGAATTCTGTGTGAGGGCAAATATTCAGACCTTCGTAGCAGTGTTCTGGAATCCTTTGTGAGGGACAAAGATTCAGAACACAGCAAGATTGTTCTCGAATCCCTTGTGAGGAAAAAACATGCATACCCTCATAGCAGTTTTCTGGAATCCCATGTGATGGACAAACATTTAGACCACAGCAGCAGTGTTCTGGAATCCTATGTGAGGGACAAATATTCAGACGCTAGTAGCAGTGTTCTGGAATCCAATGTGAGGGACAAACACCCATAATGCAGCAGCAGTGTTCTCGAATGCAATGTGAAGGACATACATTCAGACCACAGCAGGATTGTTCCGGAATCCTATGTGAGGGACAAAGATTCAGACTGTCATAGCCATGTTCTGGAATCCTATGTTAGGGCCAAACATTCAGACCATAGTAGGAGTGTTCTGGAATCCTGTGTGAGGGACAAACATTCAGATCACAGCAGGATTCTTCTGGAATCCCCTGTGATGAACAAAGATTCAGAACCACATAACAGCGTTCTAGAATCCTATGTGACAGACAAACATTTAGAACCCAGCAGCTGTGTTCTGGAATCCTAGGTTTGGGACAAACACTGAGAACCTACCAGCAGTGTTCTGGAACCATATGAGAGGGACCAACGTTGAGACCCTCGTTGCAGTGTTCTGGAATTCTAT
This sequence comes from Homo sapiens, assembly GCF_000001405.40. Lineage (NCBI taxonomy): Eukaryota > Metazoa > Chordata > Mammalia > Primates > Hominidae > Homo > Homo sapiens. The sequence continues at coordinate 60,521,390 of NC_000009.12, forward strand.
GTGAGGGAGAAACACTCAGAACCCAGCGGCAGTGTTCTGTAATCGTATGTGAGGGACAAACATTCAGACCTCAGCAGCAGTGTTCTGGAATGCTATGTGAGGGAAAATCATTCAGACCCTCATAGCAGTGTTCTGAAATTCTGGGTGAGGGACAAAAATTCAGACCCTCACAGTAGTGTTCTGGAATCCTGTGTGAGGGATAAACATTCACAACACAACAGGAGTGTTCTGGCATCCCCTGTAAGGAACAAACATTCAGAACCTCGTTGCAGTGTTCTGGAATCCTACATGATGGACAAACACTTAGACCCCAACAGCAGTGTTCTGGAATGCAATGTGAGGGATAAACATTCAGACCCTCCCAGTAGTGTTATGAAATCATATGTGATGGAAAAACACTCAGAACCCAGCAGCAGTGTTCTGGAACCCTATGTGAGGGAAAAACTTTCAGACCACAGCAGGATTGTTCTGGGATCCGATGTGAGGGATAAACACTCAGAGCACGGCAGGAGTGTTTTGGAATACTATGTGAGGGACAAACATTCAGACCCTAGTTGCAGTGTTCTGGAATCCAATGTGAGGGACAAACATTCAAACAACAGGGGTAGTGTTCCATGATCCTATGTTACAGACAAACATTCAGACCCTCGTTGCAGTATTCAGGAATCCTATGTTAGGGAAAAACATTCAGACCCTCGTAGCACTGATCTGGAATCCTATGTGAGTGACAGACATTCAGACAATCATAGCAGTGTTCTGGAATCGTATGTGAGGGACAAACATCCAGACCCTCATAGGATCATTCTGGAATCCTATGTGAGGGACAAACATTCAGACAATCGTAGCAGTGTTCTGGAATACTATGTGAGGGACAAACATTCAAACAACAGCCAGAGTGTTCTGGAATGCTACGTTACGGAGAAACATTCAGACCCTCGTCGCTGTTTTCTGGAATTCTATGTGAGGGAGAAACATTCAGAATCCAGCAGCAGTGATCTGGAATCCTATGTGACGGCCATACATGTAGACCCCAGCAACAGTGATCTGGAATCCTATGTGACGGCCATACATGTAGACCCCAGCAGCAGTGTTCAGTAGTCCTATGTGAGGGAGAAACATTCAGACCCCAGCTTCAGTGTTCTGTAGTCCTCTGTGAGGGACAAACATTCAGACCCTAGCAGCAGTGTTTTGGAATCCTACGCATGTGACAAATATTCAGACCCTTGTAGCAGTGTTCTGGAATCCTATGTGAGGGACAAACACAGAGAATCTAGAAGCAGTGTTCTATAACCCTATGTGAGGGACAGACATTCAGACCACAGCAGGAGTGTTCTGGAATCCTATGTGAGGGACAAACATTTAGACAATCGTAGCAGTGTTGGGGAATCCTATGTGAGGGACGAACATTCCAACCCTCGTATCACTGTTTCGGATCCCAAGTGAGGGGCAAACATTCAGACCACAGCAGAGTGTTCTGGAATCCACAGTGAGGGACAAACTTTCAGACCCTCGTGGCAGTGTTCTGGAATCCTACGGAATGACAAACATTCAGACAGTCGTAGCAATGTTCTGGAATCCTGTGTGAGGGAAAGTCTTTCAGACTCAAGCATCAGTGTTCTGGAATCCTATGTGAGGGACAAACATTCAAACAACAGCGGGAGTCTTCTGGAATCCTATGTTACCGACAGACATTCAGACCCTCGTCGCAGTCTTCTGGAATTCTGTGCGAGGGAGGAACACTTAGAATCCTGCAGCATTGTTCTAGAATCCTATGTGACGGACATACATGAAGACCCTTGTAGCTGTGTTCTGGAATCCCATGTGAGGGACAAACATTCAGAACCCAGCAGCAGTGTTCTGGAGTCCCATGTGAGGGACAATCATTCAGACCGTCATAGCAGTGTTCTGGAATTCTGTGTGAGGGACAAACATTCAGACCCTTGTAGCAGTGGTCTGGAATTCTGTGTGAGGGAAAAACATTCAGAACACAGCAGGAGGTTTCTGGAATCCCCTGTGAGGAGCAAATATTCAGGACCTCATATCAGTGTTCTGGAATGCCATGTGACGGACACACCTGTAGACCCCAGCAACAGTGTTCTGGAATCCTACATGAGGGACAATCATTCAGACCCTCATAGCAGTGTTCTGGAATCTTATGTGAAGGACAAACATTTAGACACAAGCAGCAATGTTCTGGAATCCTATGTTTGGGGCAAACACTGAGAACCTACCAGCAGTGTTATGGAACCATATGAGAGCGACAAACGTTGTTACCCTCGTTGCAGTCTTCCGGAATTCTATGTGAGGGAGAAACACTCAGAACCCAGGGACAGTGTTCTTTAATCCTATGTGAGGAACAAACATTCAGACCCCAGTAGCAGTGTTCTGGAAAACTATGTGAGGGAAAATCATTCAGACCCTCACAGCAGTGTTCTGGAACTCTGTGTGAGGGACAAAAATTCAGACCCTCATAGCAGTGTTCTGGAATCCTGTGTGAGGGACAAATATTCACAACAGGAGTGTTCTGGAATCCCCTGTAAGGAACAAACATTCAGAAGCTCGTGGCACTGTTCTGGAATCCTATGTGATGGACAGACATTTAGAGCCCAACAGCAGTGTTCTGGAATGCTATGTGAGGGACAAATATTCAGACCCTCCCAGTAGAGTTATGAAATCATATGTGAGGGAAAAACACTCAGAACCGAGAAGCATTGTTCTGGAACCCTATGTGAGGGAAAAACTTTCAGACCACAGCAGGATTGTACTGGAATCTTATGTGAGGAATAAACACTCAGAGCATGGCAGGAGTGTTTTGGAATCCTATGTGAGGGACAAACATTCAGACCCTAGTTGCAGTGTTCTGGGATCCAATGTGAGGGACAAACATTCAAACAACAGGGGTAGTGTTCCATGATCCTATGTTACAGACAAACATTCAGACCCTTGTTGCAGTATTCAGGAATCCTATATTAGGGAAAAACATTCAGACCCTCGTAGCACTGATCTGGAATCCTATGTGAGTGACAGACATTCAGACAATCATAGCAGTGTTCTGGAATCCTATGTGAGGGACAAACATCCAGACCCTCATAGGATCGTTCTGGAATCCTATGTGAGGGACAAACATTCAGACAATCGTAGCAGTGTTCTGGAATACTATGTGAGGGACAAAAACTCAGACCCCAGTAGCAGTGTTCTGGAATCCTATGTGAGGGACAAATATTCAAACAACTGCGAGAGTGTTCTGGAATGCTATGTTACTGAGAAACATTCAGTCCCTCGTCACAGTGTTCTGGAATTCTATGTGAGGGAGAAACATTCAGAACCCAGCAGCAGTGATCTGGAATCCTATGTGATAGCCATACATGTAGACCCCAGCAGCAATGTTCTGGAATCCTATGTAAGGGACAAATTTTCGGACCCCAGCAGCAGTGTTTTGCAATTCTATGTGTGTGACAAATATTCAGACCCTTGTAGCAGTGTTCTGGAATCCTATGTGAGGGACAAACACTGAGAATCTAGCAGCAGTGTTCTGCAACCCTATGTGAGGGACAGACATTCAGACCACAGCAGGAGTGTTCTGGAATCCTATGTGAGGGACAAACATTCAGACAATTGTAGCAGTGTTGGGGAATCCTACATGAGGGACGAACATTCAGACCCTCGTATCACTGTTCTGGATCCGAAGTGAGGAACAAATATTCAGACCACAGCAGAGTGTTCTGAAATCCAGAGTGAGGGACAAACTTTCAGACCCTCGTTGCAGTGTTCCGGAATCCTACGGAGTGACAAACATTCAGACAATCATAGCAGTGTTCTGGAATCCTATGTTAGGGAAAAACCTTCAGACTCAAGCAGCAGTGTTATGGAATCCTATGTGAGAAACAAACATTCAAACAACAGCGGGAGTCTTCTGGAATCCTAAGTTACGGACAAACATTCACACCCTCGTCACAGTCTTCTGGAATTCTATGTGAGGGAGGAACACTCAGAATCCTGCAGCATTGTTCTGGAATCCCATGTGACGGACATACATGTAGACCCCTGCAGCCGTGTTCTGGAATCCTATGTGAGGGACAAACATTCAGAACCCAGCAGCAGTGTTCTGGAGTCCCATGTGAGGGACCATCATTCAGACCATCATAGCAGTGTTCTGGAATTCTGTATGAGGGACAAACATTCAGACCCTCATAGCAATGTTCTGGAATTTTGTGTGAGGGACAAACATTCAGACCCTTGTAGCAGTGTTCTGGAATCCTGTGTGAGGAACAAACATTCAGGCCATGGTAGCAGTGTTCTGGAATCCTATGTGAGGGACAAACAAAAACAAGAGCGACAGTGTTCTGGAATCCTATGTTGCAGACAAACATTCAGACGCTCGTCACAATGTTCTGGAATTCTATGTGAGGGAGAAACAGTCAGAACCCAATAGCAGTGTTCTGGAATCCTATGTGACGGACATACATGTAGACCCCAGCAGCAGTGTTTTGGAATCCTATGTGAGGGACAGTCATTCAGACCCTCGTAGCAGTGTTCTGGAATTCTGTGTCAAGCACAAACATTCAGACCCCCATAGCAGTGTTCTGGAATCCTATGTGAGGGACAATCATTCAGGCCATAGCAGGAGTGTTCTGGAATCCCCTGTGAGGAATAAACGTTCAGACAGTCGTAGCAGTGTTCTGGAATGCTATGTGAGGGACAAACATTCAGACAATTGTAGCAGTGTTCCATAATCCTATGTGAGGGACAAACATTCAAACAACAGCGGGATTGTTCAGGAATCCTATGTTATGGACAAATATTCTGACCCTCATCGCAGTGTTCTGGAATTCTATGTGAGGGAGAAACACTCAGAAACCAAAAGCAGTGTTCTGGAATCCTATGTGATGGACATACCTGTAGACCCTAGCAGCAGTGTTCTGGAATCCTATGTGAGGGACAAACATTACGACCCCAGCGACAGTGTTCTGGAATCCTATGTGATGGCCAATCATTCAGACACTCGTGCCAGTGTTCTGGAATTCTGCATGACAGACAAACATTCTGACTCCCGTAGCAGTGTTCTGTAGGCCTGTGTGAGGGAAAAACATTGAGACCACAGCAGGAGTGTTCTGGAATCCCCTGTGAGGAACAGACATTCAGACCTTCTTAGGAGGGTTCTGGAATCCGGTGTGATGGACAAAAATCTAGACCCTAGCAGCAGTGTTCTGGGATCCTATGTGAGGGTCAAACATTCAGACCCTTGTAGGAGTGTTCTGGAATCCTATGTGAGGGAGAAACACTCAGAACCCAGCAGCAGTGTTCTGAAACCCTATGTGAGAGACAAACATTCTGACAACAGGAGGATAGTTTCTGGAATCCTAGGTGAGGGACAAACACTCAGAAAACAACAGGAGTGTTTTGGAATCCTAAATGAGGGACAATCATTCAGATCGTCATAGCAGTGTTCTGGAATTTTGTGTGAGGGACAAACATTCACACCCCAGCAGAAGTGTTGTGGAATTCTAAATGAGGGACAAACATTCAGACCCTCGTAGCAATGCTCTGGAATAGTGTGTGATGGAGAAACTTTTAGACCCCAGCAGCAGTGTTCTGTAATCCTTTGTAAGAGAAAAACAATCAGACCCTCATAGCTGTGTTCTGGAATCCCATGTGATGGACAAACACTCAGAACCCAGCAGCAGTGTTCTGTAACTATATGTGAGGGGCAAATATTCAGAACACAGCAGGATTGTTCTGGAATCCCATGTGAGGGACAATCATTCAGACCCTCGTGGCTGTGTTCTGGAATCCTAAGTGAGGGACAAACATTCAGACAATCATAGCAGTGTTCTGGAATCCCATGTGAGAGAAAAACATTCGGACCCTCCCAGCAGTGTTCTGGAATCCTATGTGAGGGACAAACATTCAGACAAACGTAGCAGTGTTCTGGAAACCTATGTAAGGGAAAAACATTCAAACAACACCGAGATTGTTCTGGAATCCTATGTAACGGACAACCATTAATAATCTCTTCACAGTGTTATGGAATTCTATGTGAGGGAGAAACACACAGAACCCAGCAGCAGTATTCTGGAAACCTATGTGAGGGACTCACATTCAGACCACGGCAGGATTGTTCTGGAATCCTATGTGAGGGACAAACACTCGGAACACAGCAGGAGTGTTTTGGAATCCTATGTGCGGAACAAACATTCAGAACCTCGTGACAGTGTTAGGGAATCCTATAGGAGGAACTAACATTCAGAACACAGCAGGAGTGTTCTGGAATCCTATGTGAAGAACAAACATTCAGACCCCCATAGCAATGTTTTGGAATCCTATGTGAAGGACAAACATTCAGACAATGGTAGCAGTGTTCTGGAATCCAATGTGAGGGACAAATATTTAAGCTACGGGGAGGGGGTTTCTGGAATCCTATGTTACAGACAAACATTCAGAACCTCGTCGCAGTGTTCTTGAATTCTATGTCAGGGAAAAACAGTCAGAACCCCGCAGCAGTGTTTTGGAATCCTATGTGACAGACACACATGTAGACCCCAGCAACAGTGTTCTAGGATCCTATGTGAGGGAAAAACATTCAGACCCCGGCAGCAGTGTTCTCGAATCCTATGTGAGGGGCAATCATTCAGACCGTCGTAGCAGTGTTCTGGAATTCTGTGTGAGGGACAATCATTCAGACTGTCGTAGCAGTGTTCTGGAATACTAAGTGTAGGACAAACATTCAGACAATCGTAGCAGTGATCTGGAAATCTATGTGAGGGACAAACATTCACACACTCTTAGGAGGGTTCTGGAATCCTATGTGAGGGACAAACATTCAGACAATAGTAGCAGTGTTCTGGAATCCTCTGTGAGGGACAAACATTCAGAATCCAACAGCAGTGTTCTGGAATCCAATGTGAGGGACAAACATTTAAACAACGGGCGGGGGGCGTTCTGGAATCCTATGTTACAGACAAACATTCAGAACCTCGTCGCAGTGCTATGGAATTCTATGAGAGGGAGAAACAGTCAGAACCCAGCAGCAGTGTTTTGGAATCCCACGTGACGGACATACATATAGACCCCAGCAGCAGTGTTCTGGGATCCTATGTGAGGGACAAACATTCAGACCCCAGCAGCAGTGTTCACGAATCCTATGTGAGGGACAATCATTCAGACCCCAAGGGCCCCAAATATGCACTTGCAGATTCTACTAAAAGAGTGTTTCCAAACTGCTCAATCAAAAGAATGGTTCAACTCTGTCAGATGAATGCACACATCAGAAAGAATTTTCTCAGATTGCTTCAGTCTAGATTTTATGTGAAGATATTTCCTTTTCTACCATAGGCAGCAAAGTGCTCCAAATGTCCACTTGCAGATTCTACAAACAGAAGCTTTCTAAACTGCTCGAGCAAAAGAAAAGTTTAACTCTGTGAGATGAATGCACACATCACAAAGAAGTTTCTCAGATTGCTTCTGTCTAGATTTTATGTGAAGATATTTCCTTACCACCATAGGCCTCAAAGCACTGAAAATGTCCACTTGCAGATTCTACAAAAAGAGTTTCAAAACTGCTCAATCAAAAGAAAGGTTTAACACTGTGAGATGAATGCACACATCACAAAAAAGTTTCTCAGAATTCTTCTCTCTAGTTTTTATGTGAAGATATTTCATTTTCCACCATAGGCCTCGAAGCATTCCAAATGTACTCTTGCAGATTCTGCAAAAAGAGAGTTTCAAAACTGCTCAATCAAAAGAAAGGTTTAACTCCGTGAGATGAATGCACAAGTCACAAAGAAGTTTCTCAGATTGCTTCTGTCTAGATTTTATGTGAAGATAATTCCTTTTCTACCATAGGCCACAAAGCACTCCGAACTTCCATTTGCAGGTTCTACAAAAAGAGTGTTTCCAAACTGCTCAATTGAAAGAAAAGTTCAACTCTGTGAGACAAATGCACACATCACAAAGAACTTTCTCAGAATTCTGTCCAGTTTTTATGTGAAGATATTTCCTTTCCACCATAGGCCTCAAAGCGCTAAAAATGTCCACTTGCAGATTCTACAAAAAGAGTTTTGAAACTGCTCAATCAAAAGAAAGGTTTAACTCTGTGACATGAGTGCACACATCCCAAAGAAATTTCTCAGAATTCTTCTGTCTAGTTTTTATGTGAAGATATTTCCTTTTCCACCATAGGCCGCGAACCTTTCCAAATGTACTCTTGCAGATTGTACAAAAAGAGAGTTTCAAAGCTGCTCAATCAAAAGAAAGGTTTAACTCTGTGAGATGAATGCACACATCGCAAAGAAGTTTCTCAGATTGCTTCTGTCTACATTTTATAGGAAGATATATCCTTTTCTACCGTAGGCCTCAAAGCGCACCAAATGTCCACTTGCAGTTTCTACAAAAAGAGTGTTTCCAAACTGCTCAATCAAAAGAAAAGTTGAACTCTGTGAGATGAAAGCACATATCACAAGGAAGTTTCTCAGAATTCTGTCTAGTTTTTATATGAAGATATTTCCTTTTCCACCATAGGCGTCAAAGCACTAAAAATGTCCACTTGCAGATTCTACAAAAAGAGAGTTTCAAAACTCAATGAAAAGAAATGTTTAACTCTGTGAGATGAATGCACACATCACAGGGAAGTTTCTCAGATTGTTTCTGTCTAGACTTTACGTGAAGATACTTCGTTTTCTTCCATAGGACCAAAAGCGCTCCAAATGTCCACTTGTAGATTCAACAAAAAGAGTGTTTCCAAACTGTTGAATCAAAATAAATTTTCAAATCTGTGAGTTGAAAGCACACATCACAAAGAAGTTTGTCAGGATTCTTCTATCTAGTTTTTATGTGAAGTTATTTCCTTTTCTACCACAGGCCGCAACATGCTCCAAATATCTACTTGCAGATTCTACAAAAAGAGTGTTTCCAAACTCCTCAATCAAAAGAAATGTTGAACTCTGTGAGATGAATGCACGTGTCACAAAGAAGTTTCTCAGATTGCTTCTGTCTAGATTCTATGTGAAGATATTTCCTTTTCTAGCAAAGGCTGCAAAGCGCTCCAAATGTCCACTTGCAGATTTTACAAAAAGAGTGTTTTCAAACTGCTCAATCAAAAGAAAGGCTCAAGTCTGTGAGATGAATGCACACATCACAAAGAATTGTCTCAGAATTCTTCTGTCTAGTTTTTAAGTGAAGATATTTCCTTTCCACCATAGGCCTGAAGGCGCTCCAAATGTCCACTTGCAGATTCTACAAAAAGAGAGTTTCAAAACGCCTCAATCAAAAGGAAGGGTTAACTCTGTGAGCTGAATGCACACATCACAAAGAAGTTTTTCATATTGCTTCTGTCTGGATTTTGTGTGAAGATATTTCCTTTTCTACAGTAGGCTGCAAATAGCTCTAACTGTCCAGTTGCAGATTCTACAAAAAGAGTGTTTCCAAACTGCTTAATAAAAAGAAAGCTTCAACTCTGTGAGATGAATGCACATATCACAATGAAGTTTCTCAGAATTCTTCTGTCTAGTTTTACATGAAGATATTTCCTTTTCCAGCTGAGGCCTCAAAGTGCTCAAATTGTCCACTTGCAGATACTACAAAAAGAGAGTTTCAAAACTGCTCAGTCAAAATAAAGGCTTAACTCTGTGAGATGGATGCACACATCACAAAGAAGTTTCACAGATTGCTTCTTTCTAGATTTTATGTGAAGATATTTCCTTTTCTACCATAGGCTGCAAAGTGTTCCAAATATCCACTTGCAGATTCTACAAACAGAGGCTTTCCAAACTGCTCAATAAAAAGAAAAGTTTAACTCTGTGAGATCAATGCACACATCACAAAGAAGTTTCTCAGAATTCTTCTGTCCAGTTTTTATGTGAAGATATTTCCTTTTCGGCCATAGGCCTCAAAGCGCTCCAAATGTCCACTTGCAGTTTCTACAAAAAGAGAGTTTCAAAACTGCTCAATCAAAAGAAAGGTTTAACTCTATGAGATGAATGCACACATCATAAAGAAGTTTCTCAGATTGCTTCTGTCTAGATTTTATGTGAAGATATTTCCCTTTCTACCACAGGCCCCAAAGCACTCCAAATGTCCACTTGCAGATTCTACAAAAAGAGTGATTCCAAACTGCTCAATCAAAAGAAAGGCTCAACTCTGTGAGACGAATGCACATATCACAGAGAAGTTTCTCAGAATTCTTCTGTCCAGTTTTTATGTGAAGATATTTACTTTTCCACCATAGGCCTCAAACCGCTCCAAATGTCCACTTGAAGATTCTACAGAAAGAGTTTCAGAACTGCTCAATCAAAAGAAAGGTTTAACTCTGTGAGTTGAATACACATATCACAAAGAAGTTTCTCAAATTTCTTCTGTCTAGGTTTTATGTGAAGGTATTTCCTTTTCTACTGTAGGCCACAGAGTGCACCAAATGTACACTAGTAGGTTGTACAAAAACAGTGTTTCCAAACTTCTGAATCAAAAGAAAAGTTCAACTCTGTGAGATGAACACACATATCACAAAGAAGTTTCTCAGAATTCTTCTGCCTAGTTTTTATGTGAAGATATTTCCTTTTCCACCATAGGCCTCAAAGGGCTCCAAATGTCCACTTGCAGATTCTGCAAAAAGAGAGTTTCAAAACTCCTCAATCAAAAGAAATGTTTAACTCTGTGAGATGAATGCACACATCACAGAAAAGTTTCTCAGATTGTTTCTGTCTGGTTTTTATGTGCAGATATTTCCTTTCCACGTTAGGCCTCAAAGCGCTCCAAATGTCAACTTGCAGATTCTACAAAAAGAGTGTTTCCAAACTGTTGAATAAAGAGAAATTTTCAAATCTGTGAGATGAAAGCACACATCACAAAGAAATTTGTCAGATTGCTTCTGTGTAGATTTTATGTGAAGGTATTTCCCTTTCTACCATAGGCCACAACATGCTCTAAATATCCACTTGCAGATTCTACAAATAGAGTGTTTCTAAACTGCTCAATCAAAAGAAAGGTTCAACTCTGTGAGATGAATGAACACGTCACAAACAAGTTTCTCAGAATTCTTCTGTCTAGTTTTTATGTGAAGATATTTCATTTTTCCACCATAGACTCAAGAAGCTCAAAATGTCCACTTGCAGATTCTACAAAAAGAGTGTTTTAAAGCTGGTCCAACAAAAGAAAGGTTCAACTCTGGGAGATGAATGCACACATCACAAAGAAGTTTCTCAGATTGCTTCTGTCTAGATTTTATGTGAAGATATTTCGTTTTCTACCACAGGCCACAAAGCACTCGAAATGTCCACTTGCAGATTCTACAAAAAGAGTGTCTCCAAACTGCTCAATCAAAAGAAAGTTTCAAATCTGTGAGATGAACACACACATCACAAAGAAGTTTCTCAGAATTCTTCTGTCTAGTTTTTATGTGAAGATATTTCCTTTTCCACCTTAGGCCTCTAAGCGCTCCAAATGTCCATTTGCAGATTCTATAAAAAGAGAGGTTCAAAACTGCTCCATCAAAAGAAAAGTTTAACTCTGGGAGATGAAGGCACACATCACAAAGAAGTTTCTCAGAATGCTTCCATCTAGTTTTTATGTGAAGTTATTTTCTTTCCACCATAGGCCTCAAAGTGCTAAAAATGTCCACTTGCAGATTCTACAAAAAGAGTTTTGAAACTGCTCAATCAAAAGAAAGGTTTAACTCTGTGAGATGAGTGCACACATCACAAAGAAATTTCTCAGAATTCTTCTGTCTACTTTTTATGTGATGATATTTCCTTTTCGACCATAGGTGTCAAAGCACTAAAAATGTCCACTTGCAGATTCTACAAAAAGAGAGTTTCAAAACTGCTCAATCAGAAGAAAGGCTTAACTTTGTGAGATGAATACACACATCACAAAGAAGTTTCTCAGATTGCTTCTGTCTAGATTGTATGTGAAGGTATTTCCTTTTCTACTGTAGGCCTCAAAGCACACAAAATGTCCACTCGAAGTTTCTACAAAAAGAGTGTTTCCAAACTGCTCAATCAAAAGAAAAGTTGAACTCTGTGAGATGAAAGCATATATCACAAAGAAGTTTCTCAGAATTCTTCTGTCTACTTTTTATATGAAGATATTTCCTTTTCCACCATAGGCATCAAAGCGTTAAAAATGTCCACTTGCAGATTCTACAAAAAGAGAGTTTCAAAACTCCTCAATAAAAAGAAACGTTTATCTCTGTGAGGTGAATGCACACATCACAGAGAAGTTTCTCAGATTTTTTCTGTCTAGATTTTATGTGAAGATACTTCATTTTATTCCATAGGATGAAAAGTGCTCCAGACGTCCATTTGTAGATTCAACAAAAAGAGTGTTTCCAAACTGATGAATCAAAAGAAATTTTCAAATCTGTGAGATGACAGCACACATCACAAAGAAGTTTGTCAGAATTCTTCTGTCTAGTTTTTATGTGAAGATATTTCCTTTCCACCGTAGGCGTCAAAGCACTCCAAATGTCTACTTGCAGATTCTACAAAAAGAGAGTTTCAAAACTACTCAATCAAAATGAAGGTTTAACTCTATGAGAAGAATGCACACATCACAAAGAAGTTTCTCAGATTGCTTCTGTCTAGATTTTATGTGAAGATATTTCCTTTTCTACCATAGGCTGCAAAGCGCTCTAAATGTCCACTTGCAGATTCAAAAAAAAAGTGTTTCCAAACTGCTCAATCAAAAGAAAGGTTCAACTCTGAGTGATGAATGCACACATTACAAAGAAGTTTCTCCAAATTCTTCAGTCTAGTTTTTGTGTGATGATATTTCCTTTTTAATCATAAGACTCAAAGCACTCCAAATGTCTACTAGCAGATTCTACAAAAAGAGTCTCAAAACTGCTCAATCAAGAGAAAGTGTTAACACTGTGAGATGAATGCACACATCACAAAGAAGTTTCTCAGATTCCTTCTGTCTAGATTTTATGTGAAGATATTTGCTTTTCTTCCATTGGTTGCAAAGCGCTACAAATCTCCACTTGCAGATTCTACAAAAAGAGTGTTTCCAGACTGCTCAATCAAAAGAAAGGTTCAACTCTGTGAGATGAATGCACACATCACAAGGACGTTTCTCAGAATTCTTCTGTCTAGTTTTTATGTGAAGATATTTCCTTTTTTACCATAGGTCTCAAAGCGCTCCAAATGTCCACTTGTAGATTATACAAAAAGAGTTTCAACACTGCTCTATCAAAAGAAAGGTTTAACTCTGTGAGATGAATGCATACACCAGAAAGAAGTTCCTCAGATTACTTCTGTCTGGATTTTATGTGAAGGTATTTGCTTTACTACCATAGGCCGCAAAGCGATCCTAATGTCCAATTGCAGATTCTATGAAAAGAGTGTCTCCAACCTGCCCAATCAAAGCAAAGTTTCAACACTGTGAGATGAACACACACATATCAATGAAGTTTCTCGGAATTCTTCTCTCTAGTTTTTATGTGAAGATATTTCCTTTTCTACCATAGGCCACAAAGTGCCGCAAATGTCGACATGCAGATTCTACAAAGAGTGTTTCCAAACTGCTCAATCAAAAGAAAAGTTCAACTCTGTGAGATGATCGCACACATCACAAAGTAGTTTGTCAGAATTCTTCTGTCTAGTTTTTATGTGAAGATATTTCCTTTTCCATAATATTCCTCAAAGCTCTCGAAATGTCCACTTGCAGATTCTACAAAAAGAGTGTTTCCAAACTGCTCGATCAAAAGAAACGTTTAACTCTGTGAGATGAATGCACACATCACAAAGAGATTTCTCAGACTGCTTCTGTCTAGATATTATTTGAAGATATTTCCTTTTCTACTGTAGGCCACAAAGAGCTCCAATTTCCACTTGTAGATTCTACAAAAAGTGTGTTTCCAAACTGCTCAATCCAAAGAAAGATTCAACTCTGTGAGATGAGCACATGCATCACAAAGAAGTTTCTCAGAATTCCTCTGTCTAGTTTTTAAGTGAAGATTTTTCATTGTCCAACATAGACCTCAGAACGCTCCAAATGTCCACTTGTGGATACTCCAAAAAGAGTGTTTCAAAACTGTTCAATCCAAAGAAAGTTTTACCTCTGTGAGATGAATGTACATATCAGAAAGAAGTTTCACAGATTGCTTTTGTCTAGATTTTATGTGAAGATATTTCCTTATCTACCATACATAGACCACAAAGCGCTCCAAATGTCCTCCTGCAGATACTACAAAAAGAGTGTTTCCAAACTGCCCAATCAAAAGAAAAGTTCAACTGTGTGAGATGAATGCACACATCACAAAGAAGTTTGTCAGAATTCTTCTGTCTAGTTTTCATATGAAGATATTAACTTTTTCACCATAGGCCACAAATTGATCCAAATGTCCACTTGCAGATTCTACAACAAGAGAGTTTCAAAACTCCTCTATCAAAAGAAAGGTTTAATACAGTGAGGTGAATGCACATATCACAAAGAAGTTTCTGAGATTGCTTCTGTCTAGATATTATGTGAAGATATTTCGTTCTCTACCATAGGCTGCAAAGCGCTCCAAATGTCCACTGACGGATTCTACAAAAAGAGTATTTCCAAACTGCTCAATCAAAGAAAGGTTCAACTCTGAGATGAATGCACACATCACAAAGATGTTGCTCAGAATTCTTCTGTCTAGTTTTTATGTGAAGTTATTTCCTTTTCCACAGCAGGCCTCAAACTCCTCCAAATGTCCACTTCCAGATCCTACAAAAAAAGAGTTTCAAAATTGCTCAATCAAAAGAAAGATTTAACGCTGTGAGATGAATGCACATATAAGATAGAAGTTTCTCAGATTGCTTTTGTCTAGATTTTATATGAAGATATTTCCTTTTCTACCTTAGGCCGCAAAGCGCTCCAAATGTCCACTTGCAGATTCCACAAAAAGAGTGTTTCCAAACTGCTCGATCAAAAGAAAAGTTCAACTCTGTGAGATGAATGCACACATCACAAAGAATTTTCTCAGAATTCTTCTGTCTAGCTTTAATGTGAAGATATTTCTTATGCCCCAATAGGCCCCACAACAGGCCTCGAAGCCCTCCAAATATCCACCTGCAGATTCCACAAAAAGAGTGCTTCCAACTGCTCAATCAAAAGAACGGTTCAACTCTGTGAGATGAATGCACACATCACAAAGAGGTTTCTCAGAATTCTTCTGTCTAGTTTTTATGTGAAGATATTTCCTCTTCCACTACAGGTCTCAAAGTGCCCCAAATGTCCACTTTCAGATTCTAGAAAAAGAGAATTTCAAAACTGCTGAATCAGAAGAGAGGTTTAACTCTGTGAGATGAATGCACACATCACAAAGAAGTTTCTCAGATTGCTTCTGTCTAGATTTTTTTGAAAATATTTAGTTTTCTTATGTAGGCCACAAAGCGCTAAAAATGTCCACTTGCAGATTCTACAAAATGAGTGTTTCCAATCTGCTCAATCAAAAGAAACTTTCATCTCTGTGTGATGAACACACACATCACAAAGAAGTTTCTCAGAATTCTTCTGTCTAGTTTTTATGTGAAGATATTTCCTTTTCCACCATAGGCCCCAAAGCACTACAAATGTCCACATGCAGATTGTACTAAAAGAGAGTTTCAAAACTGCTCAATCAAAGGAAACGTTAACTCTGTTAGATGAATGCACACATCACAAAGAAGTTTCTCAGATTGATTCTGTCTAGATTTTATGTGAAGATATTTCCTTTTCTCCCATAGGCTGCAAAGCCCTCCAAATGTCCATTTTCATATTTTACAAAAAGAGTGTTTCCAAACTGCTCAATCAAAAGAAAGATTCAACTCTGTGAGATGAACGTACACATCACAAAGTAGTTTCTCAGAATTTTTCTGTCTAGTTTTTAATTGAAGATATTTCCTTTTCCACCATAGGCCTCAAAGTGTTACAAATGTCCATTTGCAGATTCTATAAAAAGAGATTTTCAAAACTGATCAATGAAAAGAAAGGTTTAAGTCTATGAGATGAATGCACACATAATAAAAAATTTATAAGGTTGCTTCTGTCTAGATTTTATGTGAAGATGTTTCCTTTTCTACCATAAGCCACAAAGCACTCCAAATGTCCACTTACAGATTGTACAAAAACAGTGTTTCCAACAGCTCGATCAAAAGAAAAGTTCAACTCTGTGAGATGAATGGAAACATCACAGGCAATTTCTCAGAATGCTTCTGTTTCATTTTTATTTGAAGATATTTCCTTTTCCACAATAGTCCTGAAAGCGCTCCAAACATCCAATTGCAGATTCTACAAAAATAGTGTTTCAAAACTGCTCAATCAAAAGAAAGGTTCAACTCTGTGAGATTAATGCACACATCACAAAGAATTTTCTCAGAATTCTTCTGTCTAGCTTTAATGTGAAGATATTTCCTACTCCCCAATAAGCCCCACAATAGGCCTCAAAGCCCTCCACATATCCACCTGCAGATTCCACAAAAACAGTGCTTCCAAACTGCTCAATCAAAAGAAAGATTCAACCCTGTGAGATGAATGCACACATCACAAAGAGGTTTCTCAGAATACTTCTGTCTACTTTTTATGTGAAGATATTTCCTCTTCCACTAGAGGTCTCAAAGTGCCCCAAATGTCCACTTTCAGATTCTAGAAAAAGGGAGTTTCAAAACTGTTGAATCAGAAGAGAAGTTTAACTCTGTGAGATGAATGCACACATCACAAAATAGTTTCTCAGATTGCTTCTTTCTAGATTTCATGTGAAGATATTTCCTTTTCTACCATAGGCTGCAAAGCTTTCCAAATGTCCACTTGCAGATTCTACAAAACGAGTGTTTCCAAACTGCTCAATCAGAAGAATGATTCAACTCTGTGAGATGAACACACACATCACAAAGTTTCTGAGCATTCTTCTGTCTAGTTTTTATGTGAAGTTATTTCCTTTTCCACCATAGGCCTCTATGCGCTCCAAATGTCCACTTGCAGATTCCTGAAAAAGAGAGTTTCAAAACTGCTCAATCAAAAAAAGGTTTAACTCTGTGAGATGAATGCACACATAACAGAAATATTTCTCAGATTGCTTCTGTCTAGATTTTATATGAAGATATTTACTTTTCTACCATAGGCGACAAAGCGCACATTATGTTCACTTCCAAATACTCCAAAAAGAGTGTTTCCAAACTTCTCAATGAAAAGACAGTTTCAAATCTGAGAGATGAACGCTCACATCACAAAGAAGTTTCACAGAATTCTTCAGTGTAGTTTTTATGTGAAGATATTTCCTTTTCCATCACAGGTCTCAAAGCGCTCCAAATGTCCACTTGCAGATGCTACAAAAAGAGAGTTTCAAAACTCCTAAATCAAAAGAAAGGTTTTACTCTGTGAGATGAATGCACACATCAAAAAGAAGTTTCTCAGATTGCTTCTATCGAGATTTTATATGAAGATATTTCCTTTTCTACCATAGGCAGCAAATCGCTCCAAATGTCCACTTGCAGATTATACAAAGAGTGTTTCCAAACTGCTCAATAAGAAGAAAGGTTCAACTCTGTGAGATGAATGAGCACATCAGAAAGAAGTTTCTCAAAATTCTTCTGTCTAGTTCTTATGTGAAGATATTTATTCTTCCACCATAGGTCGCAAAACGCTCTAAATATCCACTTGTAGATTCTACAAAAAGAGTGTTTTCAAGTTGCTCAATCAAAAGAAAGGTTCAACTCTGTGGGAGGAATGCACACATCACAAAGAAGTTTCTCAGAATTCTTCTGTGTAGTTTTTATGTGAAGATGTTACCTTTTCCACCATAGGCCTCAAATCGCTCCAAATGTCCACTTGCAGATTCTACAAAAAGAGAGTTTCAAAACTGCTCAATAAAAAGAACAGTTTAACTCTGTGAGATATATGCACACATCACAAAGAAGTTTCTCAGATTGATTCTGTCTAGATTTTATGTGAAGATATTTCCTTTCCTACCATAGGCTGCAAAGCCCTCCAAATGTCCACTTGCAGGTTGTACAAAAAGAGTGTTTCCAAACTGCTCAATCAAAAGAAATGTTCAACTCTCTGAGATGAACGCACGCATCACAAAGAAGTTTCTTAGAATTCTTCTGTCTAGTTTTTATGTGAAGATATTTCCTTTTCCAAAATAGGCCTGAAAGCACTCCAAATGTTCACTTGCAGATTCTACAAAACGACAGTTTCAAAACTGCTTAATCAAAAGAAAGGTTTATCTCTCTGAGCTGAGTGCACACATCACAAAAAATTTCTCAGATTGCTTCTGTCTATATTTTATGTGAAGATGTTACCTTTTCTACCATAGGCTACAAAGCACTCCAAATGTCCACTTGCAGATTCTACAAAAAGAGTGTTTCCAACAGCTCAATCAAAAGAAAACTTCACCTCTGTGAGACCAATGAACACACCACAAGCAAGTTTCTCAGAATGCTTCTGTTTAGTTTTTATTTGAAGATATTTCCTTTTCCACAATAGTCCTGAAAGCGCTCCAAACATCCACTTGCAGATTGTACAAAAAGAGTGTTCCAAAACTGCTCAATCAAAAGAAAGGTTCAACTCTCTGAGATTAATGCACACATAACAAAGAAGATTCTCAGAATTCTTCTATCTAGTTTTAATGTGAAGATATCTCCTATTCCACAATAGGCCCCACAATAGGCATCAAAGCCCTCCAAATATCCTCCTGCAGATTCCACAAAAAGGATGTTTCAAAATTGCTCAATCAAAAGTAAGTTTCAACTGTGTGAGATGAATGCACATATCACAAAGAAGGTTGTCAGAATGCTTCGATCTAGTTTTTATCTGAAGATATCTCCTTTTCCACCATAGTCCTAAAAGTGCTCCAAATGTCCACTAGCACATTGTACAAAAAGAGCATTTCCAAACTGCTCAATGAAAAGAAAGGCTCAACTCTGTGAGATGAATGCACACATCACAAAGAAATTTGACAGAATGCTTCTGTTTAGTTTTTATGTGAAGATGTTTTCTTTTCCACCAGAGGCCTCAAAGTGCTCCCAATGTCCACTTGCAGATTTTATGAAAGGAGTGTTTCAAAGCTAATCCAACAACAGAAAGGTTCAACTCTGTGAGTTGAATGCACACATCACAAAGAAGTTTCTGAGAATGCTTCTGTCTAGTTATTATGGGAAGATATTTCGTTATCCACCATAGGCCTCAAAGCACTCCAGATGTCCACTTGCAGATTCTGCAAAAAGAGTGTTTCAAAACTGCTCAACTGAAAGTAAAATTCAACTCGGTGAGATGAATTCACACTTCACAAAGAAACATCTCAGAATCCTTCTGTCTAGTTCTTATGTGAAGGTATTTCGATTTCCACCATAGGCCTCAAAGCGCCCCTAATGTCCACTTGCAGATTCTACAAAAAGAGATTTTCATAATTGCTCAGTGAAAAGAAAAAGTTAACTCTGTGAGATGAATGCACATATCACAAAGAAGTTTTTCAGACTGCTTCAGTCTAGATGCTATATGAAGATATTTCCTTTTCTACCTTAGACAGCAAAGCGCTCCAAATGTCCAATTTCAGATTATGCAAAAACAGTGTTTCAAAACTGCTCAATCAAAAGAAAGGTTCAACACTGTGAGATGAACGCACACATCACAATGATGTTTCTCAGAATTCTTCTGTCTAGTTTTTATGTGAAGATATTTCCTTTTACACCATAGGCCTCAAAGTGCTAAAAATGTCAAATTGCATTTTCTACAAAAACAGAGTTTCAAAACTGCACAATCAGAAGAAAGGTTTAACTCTGTGAGATGAATAGACACATCACAAAAAGTTTCTCCGATTCCTTCTGTCTAGATTTTATGTGAAGATATTTTCTTTACTGCCATAGGCCACAAAGCGCTCCAAAGATCCACTAGCAGAATCATCAAAAAGATTGTTTCCAAAATGCTAAATAAAAGAAAGTTTCAACTCTGTGAGATGACCACACAAATCACAAAGAAGTTTCTCAGAATTCTTCTGTCTAGTTATTATGTTAAGATATTCCCTTTTCCAGGATAGGCCTCAAACCGCTCCAAAGGTCTACTTGCAGCTTCTACAAATGAGAGTTTCAAAACTGCTCAATCCAAAGAAAGGTTTAACATGGTGAGATAAATGCATACATCACAAAGAAGTTTCTCAGATTCCTTCTGTCTAGATTTTATGTGAAGATATTTCCTATTCTACCATAGCACGCAAAGCGCTTTAAATGTCCACTTGCAGATTCTTCAAAAAGAGTATTTCAAAACTGGTCTTTCAAAGGAAAGATTCAACTCTGGGAGGTGAATGCACACATCACAAAGAAGTTTCTCAGAATGCTTCTATCTAGTTTTTATATGAAGATATTACCTTTTCCACATTGGCCTCAAAGTGCTTGAAATGTCCACTTGCAGATTCTACAAAAAGAGTGTTTCCAAACTGCTCAATCAAAAGAAAGGTTCAACTCTGTGAGATGAACACACGCATCACAAATAAGTTTGTCATAATGCTTCTGTCTAGTTTTTATGTGAAGATATTTGATTTTCCATAATAGGCCTCAAAGTGCTCCAATGTCCACTTGCAGATTCTACAAAAAGAGTGTTTCAAAGCTGCTCAATGAAAAGAAAGTTACAATTCTGTGAGATGAATGCACACATCACAAAGAAGCTTGTCAGAATGCATCTGTCTAATTTTTATGTGAAAATATTCCCTTTTCCACCATAGGCCTCAAAGTGCTCCAAATGTCCACTTGCAGATTCTACAAAAAGCGTGTTTCAAAGCTGCTCGATCAAAAGAAAGGTTCACGTCTGGGAGATGAATGCACACATCACAAGGAAGTTTGTGAGAATGCTTCTGTCTAGTTTTCATGTGAAGATCTTTCCTTTTCCACCAGAGACCTCAAGGCGCTCCAAATGTCCACTTGCAGATTCTACAAAAAGAGAGATGCAAGACTGCTCAATGAAAAGTAACGTTCAATTCTGTGAGGTGAATGCACACATCAAAAAGAAGATTCTCAGAATTTTTCTGTGTAGTTTTTATGTGAAGATGTTTCATTTTCCACCATAGACCACAAGATGCTCGAATAGTCCACTTGCAGATTCTACAAAAAGATTGTTTCAAAGCTGCTCAAACAAAGGAAAGGTTCAACTCTCTGAGATGAAGGCACATGTCACATAGAAGTTTTTCAAAAAGCTTCTGTCTTGTTTTCATGTGAAGATAATTTCTTTTCCACCATGGACATCAAAGTGCTGCAAATGTCCGCTTCCAGATTCTACAGAAAGAGTGTTTCAAAGCTGCTCAATGAAAAGTAAGGTTCAACTCTGTGAGATGAATGCACACATCACAAAGAAGTTTGTCAGAATGCTTCTGTCTAGTTTTTATGTGAAGATATTTCCTTTTCCACCATAGGCCTCAAAGGGCTCCAAATGTCCACTTGCAGATTCTAGAAAAAGAGTGTTTCAAAACTGCTCAATGAAAAGTAGGTTTATACTCTGTGAGATGAGTACACACATTACAAAGTTTTTTGTCAGAATGCTTCTGTCTAGTTTTCATGTGAAGATATTTCCTTTTCCACCATAGACCTCAAAGCGCTCCAAATATCCATTTGCAGATTCTACAAAATGAGTGTTTCAAAACTGCTCAATGAAAAGAAAGGTTCACCTCTGTGAGATGAATGCACACATCCAAGAGAAGTTTTTCAGAATGCTTCTGTCTAGTTTTTATGTGAAGATATTTTCTTTTCCAACATAGGCATCAAAGCGCTCCTAATGTCCACTTGCACATTCTACAAAAAGAGTGTTTCAAAGCTGCTCAATGAAAAGTAAGGTTCAACTCTATGAGATGAATGCACAAATCACAAAGAAGTCTGTCAGAATGCTTCTGTCTAGGTTTTATGTGAACATATTTCCTTTTCCATGATAGGCCCCAAAGCGTTCCACAGGTCCAGTTGCAGATTCTACAGAAAGAGTGTTTCAAAGCTGCTCAATCAAAAGAAACGTTCATCTCTGTGACATGAATGCACAGATCACAATGAAGTTTATCAGAATGCTTCTGTCTATTTTTTTTGTGAAAATATTTCCTTTTCCACCATAGGCCTCAAAGTGCTCCAAATGTCCACTTGTAGATTCTACAAACAGAGTGTTTAAAAACTGCTAAATGAAAAGAAAGATTCAACTGTGAGATGAATACACACTTCATGAAGAAGTTTGTCAGAATGCTTCTGTCTAGTTTTTATATGATGATATGTCCTTTTCCACAATAGGCCAGAAAGTGCTCGAAATGTCCACTTGCAGATTCAACAAAAAGAGTGTTTCAAAGCTGCTCAATGAAAAGAAAGGTTCAACACTGTGAGCTGAATGCCCACATCTCAAAGAAGTTTGTAAGAATGCTTCTGTCTAGTTTTTATGTGAACATATTTCCTTTTCCACGGTAGGCCTCAAAGCTCTCCACATGGCCTCTTGCAGATTCTAAAAAAAGAGGGTTTCAAAGCTGCTCAATTAAAAGAACAGTTCAACTCTGTGTGAGATGAATGCAAACATCACAAAGAAGTTTCTCATAATGCTTCTGTCTAGTTTTGTTGTGAAGATATTTCCTTTTCCACCATAGGCCTCAAAGTTCTCCAAATGCACACTTGCAGATTCTACAAAAATGGTGTTTCAAAACTGACCAATCAAAAGTAAGGTTCAACTCTTTGAGATGAATGCAGACATCACAAAGTAGTTTTTCAGAATGCTTCTGTCCAGTTTTTATGTGAAGATAAGTCGTTTTCTACTATAGGCCTCAAAGCACTCGAAATGTACACTTGCAGATTCTAAAAAAAGTGTGTTTCAAAGCTGCTCAATCAAAAGAAAAGTTCAATTCTGTGAGATGAACGCATGCCTCATGAAGAATTTTGTCAGAATGCTTTTGTCTTTTTTTTTTTTTTGTGAGCAACAAGGCTGTTTATTTCACCTGGGTGCAGGTGGGCTGAGTCTGAAAAGAGAGCAAAGGGTGATCGGATTATCATTAGTTCTTATAGGTTTTGGGATAGGCAGTGGAGTTAGGAGCAATGTTTTGCCGGCAGGGGTTGGATCTCACAAAGTACATTCTCAAGGGTGGGGAGAATTACAAAGAACCTTCTCAAGGGTGAGGGAGATTACAAAGAACTTTCTTAAGGGTGGGGGAGATTACAAAGTACATCAGTTAGGGTGGGGCAGAAACAAATCACAATGGTGGAATGTCATCAGTTAAGGCTATTTTCACTTCTTTTGTGGATCTGGGACGTGAGGAGTGCCTCTGCCCGGCCGCCCCATCTGGGAAGTGAGGAGCTCCTCTGCCTGGCCACCCCGTCTGGGAAGTGAGGAGCGCCTCTGCCTGGCTGCCCCATCTGGGAAGTGAGGAGTGCCTCTGCCTGGCCACCCTGTCTGGGAGGTCTACCACGGAGGCCAGACGCAGTGTGGGGGCTGGACGTGGTGGCTCACGCCTGTAATCCCAGCACTCTGGGAGGCCAAGGCGGGTTGATCACTTGAGGCTAGGGGTTTGAGACCAGCCTGGCCAACATGGCAAAACATATGAAAATTACAACAAACCAACCAACCAACCAACCCAGCAACAACAAAACAGGTCTACCCTGGAGTCATACTCTAAGTTTTTCTATTTTCCTCCCTTTCTGATCCTTTATCCCACTTTCTTTTTCTTCCTCTTCCTTCTCCTTCTTTTCAAAGACATAGAGGATTGAGTTATTATCATTGATCAATACAAAGTCCCTCTCTCATTTATTTTCTTTCATTCCCACCCCCCATTTCTATTCCCCATCTTCCCATGTGCAACCTTCCTAATATGTTTGATATGCTTCTTTTTGTATATATTTTTAGAAAATGTTAAATAAAAAAATTTTTTTAAAAAGCCCTGCAAAGGCAGGAAAGCTGAACTGGCTGCTGAGCCCCTTCTGGTTGGCCACACAGTACCCACACCTGTAGCCCCTGGACTCCTAGTGTGGGCTAAGGTGGAGTGGACCCTCTGGCTTGGTCACAGCACAATGGGCCACCTGGAAACCATCCAAAAGAGAAGACCTACCAGCCCGTGCCCAAGGTGCAGCTGCCACCTGCACATCAGGCACCAGCAGCAATGGCCAGACCATCCCTGATTCTCCATGCCATCCCCATCCCCGCCCCAACAACAAGTACTCCCTGACAGGATGCTGCAGTAGTGGCTGTCGGGAAGTCGGCTGGGCAGGTGCATAACGATAAAGATAGACTCTCAGCCCCATCCCGATGGCCACGATGTGCTCATCCCCTGGCGGCTCCTCAGCCCTATCCTAGTGGCCATGGAGTGGCATGCAGGCAGCAGCCTTGGGAACCCTGATTGCCCCTCCTCACACGTGCCCATCACAAGACTTGGGCGACGGGGAGGTCAAGTCAGACTGTGGCCACAGCGGCACCACGAGGCCAAGAACCGGCACTCAGCCTCAACGCCATGGATGCAGGGTGCCAAGTGCCAGGTCCTGCACTCTGGGCATGGGTCAGGAGCAGCTGGCAAGGGCAGCGCAGCCTGTCGGGCCCTGGGGCATGGCCGGCCGCAGCTCCGGGAAGCCACTGCAGCTCTGGGAAGCCACGTTGGCCCACAGACACTGCAGCTGCAGCCGCCACCAGCACATGGAGCAGGGGTCGCTGAGGATTGGGAATCCGTGACCAGGCGAGCGCCTCCAGCCGCGCGGACCCCGGGGCCAGCCCGGCCTCAGCAAGTCAGGTAGTCTGCGGCAGGAGCGCCGGGCATGGGTTTTGGCCCGCGGTGCAGGAGGCATGCACACTCTGGCCAGATGGGCGGTGCACTCAGGGCCCAGGAGGCCATCCCAGGGGAACCCCGCCAGCCTCTGCCAGAGCCCGAGCTGCAGCTGCCACCTGCAAGTGGTGCACTGGCTGCAGCGGTGGCAACCCCTGATCCCATCCTCCCACCTCACTTCCATCAGCGCAGACCCCACGGGTGACGTAGTGACGAAGTAGGGCTGTGGGCCCAGTGGCAGCACCAGGCGGAGAAGCACCACTCAATCCCATCCCTGGGCTGCAGAGGGCCCAGCGTGGGGGGCTCCAAGCATCGGGAGCCAGTGGAAGAGGAGAAGAGCGCGTGGGCGACAGTCAAACAGGCCCTGGGGCAGGGTGTGCCTCATGCTCCAGGGAGCCCCGCCAGCCCGAGGCACCTGAGCAGAAATCGCCGCCTGCACTGGGCGCCACGAGAGAGTGTTAGGGCCGTTTCTCCACCTCGGGCCTGTTGCGCGGGGCCAGCTAAGGTGCACATGCTCACTGGTCCTAACCATTCTGTTGGGCATTTCTGCTGAGAGGCGGGCAGTGCTGAGTCTGTGCAAAGGTCCATGGGCAGACTGCATTGCTTGTTGTTGTGCTTCGGAGGTGGCGATCCCCGAAGGTGAGCTGAAATATGGCTGGAGCGTTCCCAGGCTACAATTTGCAGTGACAATTATGGAAGATGAGCCGGAGTGGTGGCCCACCCTCAGGGAGCACTTGTGTTCGGATGGCTTCTCATTTCCCCAGTACCACATTAAATCATCTCATCTGAGGAGGATCCACAGAGCTGTCTTCTGTGGTAATCTGGAGAAAGTGAACTACCTTTGTCTGAGTAGTTGTCGACCTTGTTTCCACATTAACTGGCTGTTTTGTTGTGGCTGCACTTCTGTTTCATTACCTTCATCTTGCAGGACGGAGTCTTGGCTGCAGACTCAGCCTGTACCTCACCCGTCTCCCACCGACTCTTGGTACTGGCCATGGCCATGCTGGGCAGCTCTATGGAGGCCTGGTGGGCTACCTTGGGGGTTCGGCCAGTGGTCCTTTCACAGCTGGGGAGTGGAGCCTGGGCCTGCGGTAGTGCTGTGCGCCTCCCGGCACCTGCGGCGGTGCTGTGCACCTCCCGGCGCCTGCGGCGGTGCTGTGCACCTCCTGGTGCCTGCGGCGGTGCTGTGCCTTTTGTCTACTTTTTATATGAAGATATTTCCTTTTCCACCGTAGGCGTCAAATTGCTCCAAATGTCCGCTTACAGATTCTACAAAAACAGTGTTTCAAAACTGATCAATGAAAAGTAAGGTTCAACTCTGTGAGATTAATGCACACATCACAAGGAAGTTTGTCAGAATGCTTCTGTCTCGTTTTTCTGTGAAGATATTTTCTTTTCTTCTATAACCTTCAAAGTGCTCCAAATGTCCACTTACAGATTCTCCAAAAAGAGTGTATCAAAGCTGTTCAATCTAAAGAAAGGTGCAACTCTGTGAGATGAATGCATACATCTCAAAGAAGTTTGTCAGAATGCTTCTGCTTAGTTTTTATGTGAAGATATTTCCTTTTCCACAATAAGGCTCAAGGCGCTCCAAATGTCCACCTCCAGATACTACAAAAATAGTGTTTCAAAACTGCTCAATGAAAAGTAAGGTTAAACTCTGTGAGAGGAATGCACACATCACAAAGAAGTTTGTCAGAATGCTTCTATCTAGTTTTTATTGTGAAGATATTTCCTTTTCCACCATAGGCCACAAAGTGCTCCAAATATCCACTTGCAGATTCTACAAAAAGAGTGTTTCAAATCTGATCAATCAAAACAAAGGATCAAATCTGTGAGATGAATGCAAATATCACAAATAAGTTTGTCAGAATGTTTCTGTCTAGTTTTTATCTGAAGCTGTTTCCTTTTCCACTATTGGCCTCAAAGTGTTCCAAATATGCCACTTGCCAATTCTACAAAAAGAGTGTTTCAAAACTGCTCAATGAAAAGTAAGGTTATAATCTGTGAGACGAATTCACACATCACAAAGAAGTTTGTCAGAATGCTTCTGTCTAGTTTTCATGTGAAGATATTTCCTTTTCCACCATAGGCCTCAAAGGGCTCCAAATGTCCGCTTGCAGATTCTACAAAAAGATTACAAAGCAGCTCGGTAAAAAGAAAGGTTCAACTCTGTGAGATGAATGCACACATCAAAAAGAAGATTGTCAGAATGTTTCTGTATTGTTTTTATGTGAAGATATTTCCTTTTCTACCATAGGTCTAAAAGCTTTCTAGCATCCACTTGCGGATTCTACAAAAAGAGTGTTTCAAAACTGCTCTATGAAAAGGAATGTTCAACTCAGTGAGTTAAATGCAAGCATCACAAAGAAGTTTCTGAGAATGCTTCTGTCTAGTTTTTATGTGAAGATATTCCCGTTTCCAATGAAAGCTTCAAAGCTATCCAAATATCCACTTGCAGATTCTACAAAAAGAGTGTTTCAAAACTGCTGTATCAATAGAAAGGTTCAACTCTGTGAGTTGAGTACACACATCAAAAAGAAGTTTCTGAGAATTCTTCTGTCTAGTTTTTATGCGAAGATATTTCCTTTTTCACCATAGGCCTCTAAGCGCTCCAAACGTCCCCTTACAGATTCTACAAAAAGAGTGTTTCAAAACTGCTCTATGAAAGGGAATGTTCAACTCTGTGAGTTGAATGCAAACGTCCAGAGGAAGTTTCTCAGAATGCTTCTGTCTAGTTTTATGTGAAAATATTCCCGTTTCTAACGAAATCCTCAATGCTCTCCTAATATCCACTTGTAAATTCTACAAGAAGAGTTTTTCAAAACTGCTGTATCAAAGGAAAGGTTTAACTCTGTTACCTGAGTACACACATCACGAAGTAGTTTCTGAGAATGCTTCTCTCTACTTTTCATGTGAAGATATTTCCTCTTTCACCATAGGAGTCAAATCGCTCAATATGTCCACTTGCAGATAATACAAAAGGAAAGTTTCAAAACTCCTCTATGAAAAGGAATGTTCAACTCGGTGAGTTGAATGCAAACATCACAAAGTAGTTTCTGAGAATGCTTCCGTTTAGTTTATATGTGAAGATATTCCCATTTCAAAGGAAATCCTCAAAGCTGTCATAATATCCACTTGTAAAACCTAGAAGAAGAGTATTTCAAAACAGCTCTATCTAAAGAAATGTTAAATTCTGTGAGTTGAGTACACACATCATAAAGAAGTTTCTGAGATTCATTCGGTCTAGTTTTTATGAGAAGATATTTCCTTTTTCACCATAGGCCTCAAAGTCCTCCAATTGTCCAATTCCAGATACTACAAAAAGAGTGTTTCAAAACTGCTCTATGAAAGGAAATGTTCAACTCTGGGAGTTGAATGAAAACATCCCAAGAAGTTTCTAAGAGTGATTTTGTGTTGTTTTTATGTGAAGATATTCCCGTTTCCAATGAAATCCTCAAAGCTATCCAAATATCCACTTGCAGATTCTACAGAAAGAGTGTTTCAAAACTGCTGTATCAAAAGAAAGGTTCAACTCTGTGAGTTCAGTACACACATCACAAGGAAGTTTCTGAGAATTCTTCTGTCTAGTTTTTATGGGAAGATATTTCCTTTTTCACCATAGGCCTCAAAGCGCTCCAAGTTTCCATTTACAGATTCTACAAAAAGAGTGTTCCAAAACTGCTCTATGAAAAGGAATGTGCAACTCATTGAGTTGAGTACACACATCAAAAACAAGTTTCTGAGAATGCCTCTGTCTAGTTTTTATGGGAAGATATTTCCTTTTTCACCATAGGCCTCAAAGAGCTCCATGTGTCCACTTTCAGATACTACAAAAAGAGTGTTTCAAACCTGCTCTATGAAAGCGAATGTTCAACTCTGTGACTTGTATGCAAACGTCACAAAGATGTTTCTGAGAATGCTTCTGTCTAGATTTTATATGATGATATTCCTGTTTCCAATGAAATCCTCAAAGCAATGCAAATATCCACTGCAGATTCTACAAAAAGAGTGTTTCAAAACTGCTCTATCAAAAGAAAGGTTCAACTCTGTTAGTTGAGTACACACGTCACAAACAAGTTTCTGAGAATGCTTCTGCCTAGTTTTTATGTGAGGATATTTCGTTTTTCACCATAGGCGTCAAAGTGACCCAAATGTCAACTACCAGATACAACAAAAATAGTGTTTCAAAACTTCTCTATCAAAAGGAATGTTCATCTCTGTGAGGTGAATGCAAACATCACACAGTAGTTTCTGAGAATGCTTCTGTCTGGTTTTATGTGTAGATATTCCCGTTTCCAACGAAATCCTCAAAGGTATCCAAATATCCACTTGCAGATTCAACAAAAAGTGTGATTCAAAACTGCTCTATGAAAAGAAAAGTTCAACTCTGTGAGTTGAGTACACACATCACAAAGAAGTTTCTGAGAATTCTTCTGTCTAGTTTTTATGGGAGGATATTACCTTTTTCACCATGGGCCTCAAAGAGCTCCAAGTTTCCACTTACACATTCTACAAAAGGAGTGTTTCCAAACTGCTCTATGAAAAGGAATGTTCAACTCAGTGAGTTGAATGCAAGCATCACAAAGAAGTTTCTCAGAATGCTTCTGTCTAGTTTTTATGTGAAGGTATTCCCGTTTCAAATGAAATACTCAAAGCTGTCCTAATATCCACTTGTAAAGACTACAAGAAGAGAGTTTCAAAACTGCTATATCAAAGGAAAGGTTTAACTCTGTGAGTTGAGTACACACCTCACAAAGTAGTTTCTGAGAATGCTTCTGTCCACTTTTTATGTGAAGGTATTTTGTTTTTCAGCACAGGTCTCAAATCACTCCAAATGTCCACTTGCAGATTTCACAAAAAGAGTGTTTCAAAACTGCTCTATGAAAGGGAATGTTCAAGTCTGTGAGTTGAATGCAAACATCACAAAGAAGTTTCTGAGAATGCTTCTGTCTAATTTTTATGTGAAGATATTCCCGTTTCCAACGAAAGCCTCAAAGCTATCAAAATATCCACTTGCAGATTCCACAAAAAGTGTGTTTCAAACCTGCTGTATCAAAAGAAATGTTAAACTCTGTGAGTTGAGTACACACATCACAAAGAAGTTTCTGAGAATGCTTCTGTCTCGTTTTTATGTGAGGAAATTTTGTTTTTCACCATAGGCTTCAAAGCGCTCAAAATGTCCACTTCCAGATACTACAAAAGAGTGTTTCAAAACTTCTCTATGGAAAGGAATGTTCAACTCTGTGAGTTGAATGCAAATACCACAAAGTAGTTTCTGAGAATGCTACTGCCTGGTTTTTATGTAAAGAAAATCCCGTTTCCAATGAAATCCTCCAAGCTATCCACATATCCACTTGCAGTTTCTACAAAAAGTGTTTCAAAACTGCTCGATCAATAGAATAGTTCAACTCTGTGAGTTGAGTACACACATCACAAGGAAGTTTCTGAGAATTCTGTCTATTTTTTATGCGAAGATATTTCCTTTTTCACCATAGGCTTCTAAGTGAACCAAATATCCACTTACAGAATCTACAAAAAGAGTGTTTCAAAACTGCTCTATGAAAAGGAATGTTCAACTCTCTGAGTTGAATGCAAGCAACACGAAGAAGTTTCTCAGAATGCTTCTGTCTAGTTTTATGTGAAAATAATCCCGTTTCCAATGAAACCCTCAATGCTCTCCTAAAACCCACTTGTAAAATCTACAAGAACAGTGTTCCAAAACTGCTCTATCTAAAGAAAGCTTCAACTCTGAGTTCAGTACACACAACACAAGGAAGTTTCTGAGAATGCTTCTGTCTGGTTTTTATGGCAAGATATTCCTTTTTTCACCATAGGCCTCAAAGCGCTCCACGTTTCCACTTACAGATTCTACCAAAAGAGTTTCAAAACAGCTCTAAGAAAAGCAATGTTCAAAACAGTGAGTTGAATGCAAACATCCGAAAGAAGTATCTGACAATGCTTCTGTCTAGTTTCTATGTGAAGATATTCCCGTTTCCAACGAAATCCTCAAAGCTGTCCTAATATCCACTTATAAATACTACAAGTAGAGTGCTTCAAAACTACTGTATGAAACGAAAGGTTTAACTCTGAGAGTTGAGTACACACATCACAAAGTAGTTTCTGAGATGCTTCTGTCTACTTTTTGTGTGAAGTTATCTCCTTTTTCACCATAGGTCTCAAATCGCACCAAATGTCCACTTGCACATTCTTCAAAAAGAGTGTTTCAAATCTGTTCTATGAAAAGGAATGTTCAACTCTGTGAGTTGAATGCAAACATCACAAAGAAGTTTCTGAGAATGCTTCTGTCTAGCTTTTATGTGAAGATATTCCCGTTTCCAACGAAAGCCTCAAAGCTATCCAAATATCCACTTGAAGATTCCACAAAAAGAGTGATTCAAAACTGCTCTATCAAAAGAAAGGTTCAACTCTGTTAGTTGAGTACATACATGACAAACAAGTTTCTGAGAATGCTTCTGTCTAGTTTTTATGGGAAGATATTTCCTTTTCACCACAGGGCCAAAGCGCTTCTAATGTCCACTTCCAGATACTACAAAAAGAGTGTTTCAAACCTGCTCCATGAAAGGCAATAATCAACTCCGTGACTTGAATGCAAACATCACAAAGACGTTTCTGAGAATGCTTCTGTGTAGATTTTATATGAAGATATTCCCATTTCCAAAGGAATCCTCAAAGATATCCAAATATCCATTTGCAGATTCTACAAAAGGACGATTTTAAAACTGCTCTATCAAAAGAAAGCTTCAACTCTGTTACTTGAGTACACTCATGACAAACAAGTTTCTGAGAATGCTTCTGTCTAGTTTTTATTTGAAGATATTTCCTTTCTCACCATAGGCCTGAAAGCGCTTGAAACGTCCGCTTGCAGATACTACAGAAAGAGTGTTTCAAACCTGCTCTATGAAAGGGAATGTTCAATTCTGTGACTTGAATGCAAACATCACAAAGAAGTTCCTGAGAATGCTTCTCTCTAGATTTTATATGTAATCCCGTTTCCAACGAAATCCTCAAAGCTATCCAAATATCCACTTTCAGATTCCACAAAAAGAGTGCTTTAAAACTGCTCTGTAAAAAGAAAGGTTCATCTCTGTTAGTTGAATACACACATCACAAACAAGTTTCTGAGAATGCTTCTGTCTGGTTTTTATGGGAAGATATTTCCTTTTTCAACGTAAGCCACAAAGCGCAACAAATGACCACTTTCAGATACTATAAAAAGAGTGTTTCAAACTTTCTCTATGAATGGGAATGTTCACCTCTGTGACTTGAATGCAAACATCACAAAGAAGTTTCTGAGAATGCTTCTGTGTAGATTTTATTTAAGATATTACCGTTTCCAACGAAATCCTCAAAGCTATCCAAATATCCACTAGCAGATTCTACCAAAAGACGGTTTCAAAACTGCTCTATCAAAAGAAAGGTTCAAACCTGTTACTTGAGTACACACATCAGAAACAAGTTTCTGAGAATGCTTCTGTCTAGTTTTTATGGGAAGATATTTCCTTTTTCACCATAGGCCACAAAGCGCTCCAAAAGTCATCTCAAGATACTACAAAAACAGTGTTTCAAACTTGCTCTCTGAAAGGGAATGTTCAACTCTCTGACTTGAAAGCAAACATCCAAAGATGTTTCTGAGAATGCTTCTCTCTAGATTTTATAAGAAGATATTCCCTTTTCCAAAGAAATCCTCAAAGATATCGAAATATCTACTTGCAGGTTCTTCAAAAAGAGTGTTTCAAAACTGCTCTATCAAAAGAAAGCTTCAAATCTGTTAGTTGAGTCCACACATCACAAACAAGTTTTTGAGAATGCTTCTGTCTAGTTTTTATGGGAAGATATTTCCCTTTTCACCATAGACCTCAAAGCACTCCAAATGTCCGGTTCCAGATAATACAAAAAGAGTTTTTCAAACCTGCTCTATGAATGGGAATGTTCAAATATGTGACTTGAATGCAAACATCATGAAGAAGTTTCTGAGAATGCTTCTGTCTATATTTTATACGAAGACATTCCCGTTTCCAACGAAATCCTCAAAGCTATCGAAATATCCACTGGCAAATTCTACAAAAGGAGTGTTTCAAAACTGCTATATCAATAGAAAGGTTCAACACTGTTTCTTGAGGAGATACAGCATAAACAAGTTTATGAGATTGCTTCTATCTCGTTTTCATGGGAAGATACTTCCTTTTTCACCATAGACCTCAAAGCACTCCAAATGTCCTCTTGCAGATACTACAAAAAGAGTGTTTCAAACCTGCTCTATGAAAGGGAATGTTCAACTCTGTGATTAGAATGCAAACATCACAAAGTAGTTTCTGAGAATTCTTCTGTCTGGTTTTTATATGAAGATATTCCCGTTTCCAATGAAATCCTGAAAGCTATCCAAATATACACTTGCAGATTCTACAAAAAGAGTGTTTCAAAAGTGCTCTATGAAAAGAAAGGTTCAACTCTGTTTGTTGAGTACACACATCACAAACATGATTCTGAGAATGCTTCTGTCTAGTTTTTATGAGAAGATATTTCCTTTTTCAACATAGGCCTCAAAGTGCTCCAAATGTCAACTTCCACATACTAAAAAAGACTGTTTCAAACCTCCTCTATGAAAGGGAATGTTCAATTCTGTGAGTTGAATACAAACATTACAAAGAAGTTTCTGAGAAGGCTTCTGTCTACTTTTTATATTGACATGCCCGTTTCGAAAGAAATCCTCAAAGCTATCCAAATATCCACTTGCAGGTTCTACAAAAAGACTGCTTTAAAACTGCTCTATCAAAACAAAGGTTCAACTCTGTTAGTTGGGTACATACATAACAAACAAGTTTCTGAGAATGATTCTTTCTAGTTTTTATGAGAAGATAGTTCCTTTTTCACCATAGTCCTCAAAGCGCTCCAGATGTCCACTTCCAGATACTATAAAAAGAGTGTGTCAAACCTGCTTTATGAAAGGCAATGTTCACCTCTGTGACTTGAATACAAACATTACAAAGAAGTTTCTGAGAATCCTTCTGTCTACTTTTTATATGGATATTCCCATTTGCAATGAAATCCTCAAAGCTATCCAAATACGCACTTGCAGATTCTACAAAAAGAGTGTTTCAAAACAGTTCTATCAAAAGAATGGTTCAACTCTCTTACTTGAGTACGCACATCACAATCAAGTTTTGAGAATGCTTCTGTCTAGTTTTAATGGGAAGATATTTGCTTTTTCACCATAGGCCTCAAATCACTCCAAATGTCCACTTCCAGATACTACAAAAAGAGAGTTTCAAACGTGCTCTAAGAAAGGGAATGTTCAGCTCTGTGATTTGAGTGCAAACATCACAAAGAAGTTTCTGAGAATGCTTCTGTCTAGATTTTATATGAAGATATCCCGTTTCCAAAGAAATCCTCAAAGGTATCCAAATATCTACTTCCAGATTCTACAAAAAGACTGTTTCAAAACGGCTCTGTCAAAAGGAAGGTTCAACTCTGTTACTTGAGTACACACATCACAAGGAAGTTTCTGAGAATGCTTCTGTCTGGTTTTTAGGAGAAGATATTACCTTTTTCAACATAGGCCTCAAAGCGCTGCAAATGCCCACTTCCAAATATTACAAAAAGAGTGTTTCAAACCTGCTCTATGAAGGGAAGTGTTCAAATCTATGAGTTGAATGCAAAAATCACAGAGAAGTTTCTGAGAATGCTTCTGTCTTGATTTTATATGAAGATATTCCCGTTTCCAACGAAACCTTCAAAGCTATCCAAATATCCACCTGCAGATTCTACAAAAAGAGTGTTTCCAAAATGTTGTATCAAAACAAAGGTTCAACTCTGTTAGTTGAGGACACACATCGCAAATAAGTTTCTGAGAATGCTTCTGTCTAGTTTTTATTTGAAGATATTTCCTTTCTCACCATAGGCCTGAAAGCGCTTGAAATGTCCGTTTGCAGATACTACAGAAAGAGTGTTTCAAACATGCTCTATGAAAGGGAATGTTCAGTTCTGTGACGTGACTGCAAACATCACAAAGAAGTTCCTGAGAATGCTTCTCTCTAGATTTTACATGTAATCCCGTTTCCAACGAAATCCTCAAAGCTATCCAAATATCCACTTTCAGATTCCACAAAAAGAGTGTTTCAAAACTGCTCTCTAAAAAGAAAGGTTCATCTCTGTTAGTTGAATACACACATCACAAACAAGTTTCTGAGAATGCTTCTGTCTAGTTTCTATGGGAAGATATTTCCTTTTTCAACATAGGCCTCAAAGCGCTCCAAATGTCCACTTCCAGGTAGTGCACAGAGTGTTTCAAACCTGCTCTATAAAAGGGAACATTCTACTCTGTGACTTGAATGAAGACATCACAAAGCAGTTTCTGAGAATGCTTCCGTCGAGATTTTATATGAAGATATTCCCGTTTCCAAGGAAATCTTCCTAGCTATCTAAATATCAACATGCAGATTCTACTAAAGGAATGTTTCCAAAATGCTGTATCCACACAAAGGTTCAACTCTGTTAATTGAGGACATACAGCACAAAGAAGTTTCTGAGAATGCTTCTGTCTAGATTTTATATGAAGATATCCCGTTTCCAAAGAAATCTTCAAAGGTATCCAAATATCTACTTCCAGATTCTACAAAAAGACTGTTTCAAAACGGCTCTGTCAAAAGTAAGGTTCAACTCTGTTACTTGAGTACACACATCACAAGGAAGTTCCTGAGAATGCTTCTGTCTGGTTTTTAGGAGAAGATATTTCCTTTTTCAACATAGGCCTCAAAGCGCTGCAAATGTCCACTTCCAAATATTACAAAAAGAGTGTTTCAAACCTGCTCTATGAAGGGAAGTGTTCAACTCTATGAGTTGAATGCAAACATCACAGAGAAGTTTCTGAGAATGCTTCTGTCTTGATTTTATATGAAGATATTCCCGTTTCCAACGAAACCTTCAAAGCTATCCAAATATCCACCTGCAGATTCTACAAAAAGAGTGTTTCCAACATGTTGTATCAAAACAAAGGTTCAAGTCTGTTAGTTGAGGACACACATCGCAAATAAGTTTCTGAGAATGCTTCTGTCTAGTTTTTATTTGAAGATATTTCCTTTCTCACCATAGGCCTGAAAGCGCTTGAAATGTCCGTTTGCAGATACTACAGAAAGAGTGTTTCAAACATGCTCTATGAAAGGGAATGTTCAGTTCTGTGACTTGAATGCAAACATCACAAAGAAGTTCCTGAGAATGCTTCTCCCTAGATTTCATATGTAATCCCGTTTCCAACGAAATCCTCAAAGTTATCCAAATATCCACTTTCAGATTCCACAAAAAGAGTGTTTCAAAACTGCTCTGTAAAAAGAAAGGTTCATCTCTGTTAGTTGAATACACACATCACAAACAAGTTTCTGAGAATGCTTCTGTCTAGTTTTTATGGGAAGATATTTCCTTTTTCACCATAGGCCACAAAGCGCTCCAAAAGTCATCTCAAGATACTACAAAAACAGTGTTTCAAACTTGCTCTCTGAAAGGGAATGTTCAACTCTCTGACTTGAAAGCAAACATCCAAAGATGTTTCTGAGAATGCTTCTCTCTAGATTTTATAAGAAGATATTCCCTTTTCCAAAGAAATCCTCAAAGATATCGAAATATCTACTTGCAGGTTCTTCAAAAAGAGTGTTTCAAAACTGCTCTATCAAAAGAAAGCTTCAAATCTGTTAGTTGAGTCCACACATCACAAACAAGTTTTTGAGAATGCTTCTGTCTAGTTTTTATGGGAAGATATTTCCCTTTTCACCATAGACCTCAAAGCACTCCAAATGTCCGGTTCCAGATAATACAAAAAGAGTTTTTCAAACCTGCTCTATGAATGGGAATGTTCAAATATGTGACTTGAATGCAAACATCATGAAGAAGTTTCTGAGAATGCTTCTGTCTATATTTTATACGAAGACATTCCCGTTTCCAACGAAATCCTCAAAGCTATCGAAATATCCACTGGCAAATTCTACAAAAGGAGTGTTTCAAAACTGCTATATCAATAGAAAGGTTCAACACTGTTTCTTGAGGAGATACAGCATAAACAAGTTTATGAGATTGCTTCTATCTCGTTTTCATGGGAAGATACTTCCTTTTTCACCATAGACCTCAAAGCACTCCAAATGTCCTCTTGCAGATACTACAAAAAGAGTGTTTCAAACCTGCTCTATGAAAGGGAATGTTCAACTCTGTGATTAGAATGCAAACATCACAAAGTAGTTTCTGAGAATTCTTCTGTCTGGTTTTTATATGAAGATATTCCCGTTTCCAATGAAATCCTCAAAGGTATCCAAATATCTACTTCCAGATTCTACAAAAAGACTTTTTCAAAACGGCTCTGTCAAAAGTAAGGTTCAACTCTGTTACTTGAGTACACACATCACAAGGAACTTTCTGAGAATGCTTCTGTCTGGTTTTTAGGAGAAGATATTTCCTTTTCCAACATAGGCCTCAAAGCGCTGCAAATGTCCACTTACAAATATTACAAAAAGAGTGTTTCAAACCTGCTCTATGAAGGGAAGTGTTCAACTCTATGAGTTGAATGCAAACATCACAGAGAAGTTTCTGAGAATGCTTCTGTCTTGATTTTATATGAAGATATTCCCGTTTCCAACGAAACCTTCAAAGCTATCCAAATATCCACCTGCAGATCCTACAAAAAGAGTGTTTCCAAAATGCTGTATCAAAACAAAGGTTCAACTCTGTTAGTTGAGAACACACATCGCAAATAAGTTTCTGAGAATGCTTCTGTCTAGTTTTTATTTGAAGATATTTCCTTTTTCACCACAGGCCTGAAAGCGCTTGAAACGTCCGCTTGCAGATACTACAGAAAGAGTGTTTCAAACCTGCTCTATGAAAGGGAATGTTCAGTTCTGTGACTTGAATGCAAACATCACAAAGAAGTTCCTGAGAATGCTTCTCCCTAGATTTTATATGTAATCCCGTTTCCAACGAAATCCTCAAAGCTATCCAAATATCCACTTTCAGATTCCACAAAAAGAGTGTTTCAAAACTGCTCTGTAAAAAGAAAGGTTCATCTCTGTTAGTTGAATACACACATCACAAACAAGTTTCTGAGAATGCTTCTGTCTAGTTTCTATGGGAAGATATTTCCTTTTTCAACATAGGCCTCAAAGCGCTCCAAATGTCCACTTCCAGGTAGTGCACAGAGTGTTTCAAACCTGCTCTATGAAAGGAAGTGTTCAACTCCATGAGTTGAATGCAAACATCACAGAGAAGTTTCTGAGAATGCTTCTGTCTTGATATTATATGAAGATATTCCCGTTTCCACGAAACCTTCAAAGCTATCCAAATATCCACTTGCAGATTCTACAAAAAGAGTGTTTCCGAAATGCTGTATCAAAACAAAGGTTCAACTCTGTTAGTTGAGAACACACATGGCAAATAAGTTTCTGAGAATGCTTCTGTCTAGTTTTTATTTGAAGATATTTCCTTTTTCACCATAGGCCTGAAAGCGCTTGAAACGTCCGCTTGCAGATACTACAGAAAGAGTGTTTCAAACATGCTCTATGAAAGGGAATGTTCAGTTCTGTGACTTGAATGCATACATCACAAAAAAGATCCTGAGAATGCTTCTCTCTAGATTTTATATGTAATCCCGTTTCCAACGAAATCCTCAAAGATATCCAAATATCCACTTTCAGATTCCACAAAAAGAGTGTTTCAAAACTGCTCTGTAAAAAGAAAGGTTCATCTCTGTTAGTTGAATACACACATCACAAACAAGTTTCTGAGAATGCTTCTGTCTAGTTTTTATGGGAGGATATTTCCTTTTTCAACATAGGCCTCAAAGCGCTCCAAATGTCCACTTCCAGGTAGTGCAGAAAGAGTGTTTCAAACCTGCTCTATAAAAGGGAATATTCAACTCTGTGTCTTGAATGCAAACATCACAAAACACTTTCTGAGAATGCTTCCGTCTAGATTTTATATGAAGATATTCCCGTTTCCAACGAAATCTTCCTAGCTATCTAAATATCAACTTGCAGATTCTACTAAAGGAATGTTTCCAAAATGCTGTATCGAAACAAAGGTTCAACTCTGTTAATTGAGGACATACATCACAAAGAAGTTTCTGAGAATGCTTCTGTCTAGATTTTATATGAAGATATCCCGTGTCCAACGAAATCCTCAAAGGTATCAAAATATCCACTTGCAGATTCTACAAAAAGAGTGCTTCAAAACTGCTCTGTCAAAAGGAAGGTTCAACTCTGTTACTTGACTACACACATCACAAGAAAGATTCTGAGAATGCTTCTGTCTGGTTTTTAGGGGAAGATATCTCTTTTTTCACCATAGGCTTCAAAGCGCTGCCAATGTCCACTTCCAAATATTACAAAAAGAGTATTTCAAACCACCTCTATGAAAGAAAGTGTTCAACTCTATGAGTTGAATGCAAACATCACAGAGAAGTTTCTGAGAATGTTTCTGTCTTGATTTTATATGAAGATATTCCCGTTTCCAACGAAACCTTCATAGCTATCCAAATATCCACTTGCAGATTCTACAAAAAGAGTGTTTCCAAAATGTTGTATCAAAACAAAGGTTCAACTCTGTTAGTTGAGGACACACATCGCAAATAAGTTTCTGAGAATGCTTCTGTCTAGTTTTTATTTGAAGATATTTCCTTTTTCACTACAGGCCTGAAAGCGCTTGAAACGTCCGCTTGCAGATACTACAGAAAGAGTGTTTCAAACCTGCTCTATGAAAGGGAATGTTCAGTTCTGTGACTTGAATGCAAACATCACAAAGAAGTTCCTGAGAATGCTTCTCCCTAGATTTTATATGTAATCCCGTTTCCAACGAAATGCTCAAAGCTATCCAAATATCCACTTTCAGATTCCACAAAAAGAGTGTTTCAAAACTGCTCTGTAAAAAGAAAGGTTCATCTCTGTTAGTTGAATACACACATCACAAACAAGTTTCTGAGAATGCTTCTGTCTAGTTTCTATGTGAAGATATTTCCTTTTTCATCATAGGCCTCAAAGCGCTCCAAATGTCCACTTCCAGGTAGTGCACAGAGTGTTTCAAACCTGCTCTATAAAAGGGAACATTCTACTCTGTGACTTGAATGAAGACATCACAAAGCATTTTCTCAGAATGCTTCCGTCTAGATTTTATATGAAG
The DNA here is from genome assembly GCF_000001405.40 of Homo sapiens. Classification (NCBI taxonomy): domain Eukaryota; kingdom Metazoa; phylum Chordata; class Mammalia; order Primates; family Hominidae; genus Homo; species Homo sapiens. Next base: position 60,561,252 of record NC_000009.12, read on the forward strand.
ATATTCCCGTTTCCAAGGAAATCTTCCTAGCTATCTAAATATCAACATGCAGATTCTACTAAAGGAATGTTTCCAAAATGCTGTATCCACACAAAGGTTCAACTCTGTTAATTGAGGACATACAGCACAAAGAAGTTTCTGAGAATGCTTCTGTCTAGATTTTGTATGAAGATATCCCGTTTCCAAAGAAATCCTCAAAGGTATCCAAATATCTACTTCCAGATTCTACAAAAAGACTTTTTCAAAACGGCTCTGTCAAAAGTAAGGTTCAACTCTGTTACTTGAGTACACACATCACAAGGAACTTTCTGAGAATGCTTCTGTCTGGTTTTTAGGAGAAGATATTTCCTTTTCCAACATAGGCCTCAAAGCGCTGCAAATGTCCACTTACAAATATTACAAAAAGAGTGTTTCAAACCTGCTCTATGAAGGGAAGTGTTCAACTCTATGAGTTGAATGCAAACATCACAGAGAAGTTTCTGAGAATGCTTCTGTCTTGATTTTATATGAAGATATTCCCGTTTCCAACGAAACCTTCAAAGCTATCCAAATATCCACCTGCAGATTCTACAAAAAGAGTGTTTCCTGTATCAAAACAAAGGTTCAAGGCTGTTATTTGAGGACACACGTCGCAAATAAGTTTCTGAGAATGCTTCTGTTTAGTTTTTATTTGAAGATATTTCCTTTTTCACCACAGGCCTGAAAGCGCTTGAAACGTCCGCTTGCAGATACTACAGAAAGAGTGTTTCAATCCTGCTCTATGAAAGGGAATGTTCAGTTTTGTGACTTGAATGCAAACATCACAAAGAAGTTCCTGAGAATGCTTCTCCCTAGATTTTATATGTAATCCCGTTTCCAACGAAATCCTCAAAGCTATCCAAATATCCACTTTCAGATTCCACAAAAAGAGTGTTTCGAAACTGCTCTGTAAAAAGAAAGGTTCATCTCTGTTAGTTGAATACACACATCACAAACAAGTTTCTGAGATAACTTCTGTCTAGTTTCTATGGGAAGATATTTCCTTTTTCAACATAGGCCTCAAAGCGCTCCAAATGTCCACTTCCAGGTAGTGCACAGAGTGTTTCAAACCTGCTCTATAATAGGGAACATTCTACTCTGTGACTTGAATGAAGACATCACAAATCAGTTTCTGAGAATGCTTCCGTCAAGATTTTATATGAAGATATTCCCGTTTCCAAGGAAATCTTCCTAGCTATCTAAATATCAACTTGCAGATTCTACTAAAGGAATGTTTCCAAAATGCTGTATCCACACAAAGGTTCAACTCTGTTAATTGAGGACATACAGCACCAAGAAGTTTCTGAGAATGCTTCTGTCTAGATTTTTTATGAAGATATCCCGTTTCCAAAGAAATCCTCAAAGGTATCCAAATATCTACTTCCAGATTCTACAAAAAGACTGTTTCAAAACGGCTCTGTCAAAAGTAAGGTTCAACTCTGTTACTTGAGTACACACATCACAAGGAAGTTTCTGAGAATGCTTCTGTCTGGTTTTTAGGAGAAGATATTTCCTTTTTCAACATAGGCCTCAAAGCGCTGCAAATGTCCACTTCCAAATATTACAAAAAGAGTGTTTCAAACCTGCTCTATGAAAGGAAGTGTTCAACTCTATGAGTTGAATGCAAACATCACAGAGAAGTTTCTGAGAATGCTTCTGTCTTGATTTTATATGAAGATATTCCCGTTTCCAACGAAACCTTCTAAGCTATCCAAATATCCACCTGCAGATCCTACAAAAAGAGTGTTTCCAAAATGCTGTATCAAAACAAAGGTTCAACTCTGTTAGTTGAGAACACACATGGCAAATAAGTTTCTGAGAATGCTTCTGTCTAGTTTTTATTTGAAGATATTTCCTTTTTCACCACAGGCCTGAAAGCGCTTGAAACGTCCGCTTGCAGATACTACAGAAAGAGTGTTTCAAACCTGCTCTATGAAAGGGAATGTTCAGTTCTGTGACTTGAATGCAAACATCACAAAGAAGTTCCTGAGAATGCTTCTCCCTAGATTTTATATGTCATCCCGTTTCCAACGAAATCCTCAAAGCTATCCAAATATCCACTTTCAGATTCCACAAAAAGAGTGTTTCAAAACTGCTCTGTAAAAAGAAAGGTTCATCTGTGTTAGTTGAATACACACATCACAAACAAGTTTCTGAGAATGCTTCTGTCTAGTTTCTATGGGAAGATATTTCCTTTTTCAACATAGGCCTCAAAGCGCTCCAAATGTCCACTTCCAGGTAGTGCACAGAGTGTTTCAAACCTGCTCTATGAAAGGAAGTGTTCAACTCCATGAGTTGAATGCAAACATCACAGAGAAGTTTCTGAGAATGCTTCTGTCTTGATTTTATATGAAGATATTCCCGTTTCCAACGAAACCTTCTAAGCTATCCAAATATCCACCTGCAGATCCTACAAAAAGAGTGTTTCCAAAATGCTGTATCAAAACAAAGGTTCAACTTTGTTAGTTGAGAACACACATCGCAAATCAGTTTCTGAGAATGCTTCTGTCTAGTTTTTATTTGAAGATATTTCCTTTTTCACCACAGGCCTGAAAGCGCTTGAAACGTCCGCTTGCAGATACTACAGAAAGAGTGTTTCAAACCTGCTCTATGAAAGGGAATGTTCAGTTGTGTGACTTGAATGCAAACATCACAAAGAAGTTCCTGAGAATGCTTCTCCCTAGATTTTATATGTAATCCCGTTTCCAACGAAATCCTCAAAGCTATCCAAATATCCACTTTCAGATTCCACAAAAAGAGTGTTTCAAAACTGCTCTGTAAAAAGAAAGGTTCATCTCTGTTAGTTGAATACACACATCACAAACAAGTTTCTGAGAATGCTTCTGTCTAGTTTCTATGGGAAGATATTTCCTTTTTCAACATAGGCCTCAAAGCGCTCCAAATGTCCACTTCCAGGTAGTGCACAGAGTGTTTCAAACCTGCTCTATAAAAGGGAACATTCTACTCTGTGACTTGATTGAATACATCACAAAGCAGTTTCTGAGAATGCTTCCGTCTAGATTTTATATGAAGATATTCCCGTTTCCAAGGAAATCTTCCTAGCTATCTAAATATCAACTTGCAGATTTTACTAAAGGAATGTTTCCAAAATGCTGTATCCACACAAAGCTTCAACTCTGTTAATTGAGGACATACAGCACAAAGAAGTTTCTGAGAATGCTTCTGTCTAGATTTTTTATGAAGATATCCCGTTTCCGAAGAAATCCTCAAAGTTATCCAAATATCTACTTCCAGATTCTACAAAAAGACTTTTTCAAAACGGCTCTGTCAAAAGTAAGGTTCAACTCTGTTACTTGAGTACACACATCACAAGGAACTTTCTGAGAATGCTTCTGTCTGGTTTTTAGGAGAAGATATTTCCTTTTCCAACATAGGCCTCAAAGCGCTGCAAATGTCCACTTACAAATATTACAAAAAGAGTGTTTCAAACCTGCTCTGTGAAGGGAAGTGTTCAACTCTATGAGTTGAATGCAAACATCACAGAGAAGTTTCTGAGAATGCTTCTGTCTTGATTTTATATGAAGATATTCCCGTTTCCAACGAAACCTTCAAAGCTATCCAAATATCCACCTGCAGATCCTACAAAAAGAGTGTTTCCAAAATGCTGTATCAAAACAAAGGTTCAACTCTGTTAGTTGAGAACACACATCGCAAATAAGTTTCTGAGAATGCTTCTGTCTAGTTTTTATTTGAAGATATTTCCTTTCTCACCATAGGCCTGAAAGCGCTTGAAACGTCCGCTTGCAGATACTACAGAAAGAGTGTTTCAAACCTGCTCTATGAAACGGAATGTTCAGTTCTGTGACTTGAATGCAAACATCACAAAGAAGTTCCTGAGAATGCTTCTCCCTAGATTTTTTATGTAATCCCGTTTCCAACGAAATCCTCAAAGCTATCCAAATATCCACTTTCAGATTCCACAAAAAGAGTGTTTCAAAACTGCTCTGTAAAAAGAAAGCTTCATCTCTGTTAGTTGAATACACACATCACAAACAAGTTTCTGAGAATGCTTCTGTCTAGTTTTTATGGGAAGATATTTCCTTTTTCAACATAGGCCTCAAAGCGCTGTAAATGTCCACTTCCAAATATTACAAAAAGAGTGTTTCAAACCTGCTCTATGAAGGGAAGTGTTCAACTCTATGAGTTGAATGCAAACATCACAGAGAAGTTTCTGACAATGCTTCTGTCTTGATTTTATATGAAGATATTCCCGTTTCCAACGAAACCTTCAAAGCTATCCAAATATCCACATGCAGATCCTACAAAAAGAGTGTTTCCAAAATGCTGTATCAAAACAAAGGTTCAACTCTGTTAGTTGAGAACACACATCGCAAATAAGCTTCTGAGAATGCTTCTGTCTAGTTTTTATTTGAAGATATTTCCTTTTTCAACACAGGCCTGAAAGCGCTTGAAACGTCCGCTTGCAGATACTACAGAAAGAGTGTTTCAATCCTGCTCTATGAAAGGGAATGTTCAGTTCTGTGACTTGAATGCAAACATCACAAAGAAGTTCCTGAGAATGCTTCTCCCTAGATTTTATATGTAATCCCGTTTCCAACGAAATCCTCAAAGCTATCCAAATATCCACTTTCAGATTCCACAAAAAGAGTGTTTCAAAACTGCTCTGTAAAAAGAAAAGTTCATCTCTGTTAGTTGAATACACACATCACAAACAAGTTTCTGAGAATGCTTCTGTCTAGTTTTTATGGGAAGATATTTCCTTTTTCAACATAGGCCTCAAAGCGCTCCAAATGTCCACTTCCAGGTAGTGCACAGACTGTTTCAAACCTGCTCTATGAAAGGAAGTGTTCAACTCCATGAGTTGAATGCAAACATCACAGAGAAGTTTCTGAGAATGCTTCTGTCTTGATTTTATATGAAGATATTCCCGTTTCCAACGAAACCTTCTAAGCTATCCAAATATCCACCTGCAGATCCTACAAAAAGAGTGTTTCCAAAATGCAGTATCCAAACAAAGGTTCAACTCTGTTAGTTGAGAACACACATCGCAAATCAGTTTCTGAGAATGCTTCTGTCTAGTTTTTATTTGAAGATATTTCCTTTTTCACCACAGGCCTGAAAGCGCTTGAAACGTCCCCTTGCAGATACTACAGAAAGAGTGTTTCAAACCTGCTCTATGAAAGGGAATGTTCAGTTGTGTGACTTGAATGCAAACATCACAAAGAAGTTCCTGAGAATGCTTCTCCCTAGATTTTATATGTAATCCCGTTTCCAACGAAATCCTCAAAGCTATCCAAATATCCACTTTCAGATTCCACAAAAAGAGTGTTTCAAAACTGCTGTGTAAAAAGAAAGGTTCATCTCTGTTAGTTGAATACACACATCACAAACAAGTTTCTGAGAATGCTTCTGTCTAGTTTCTATGGGAAGATATTTCCTTTTTCATCATACGCCTCAAAGCGCTCCAAATGTCCACTTCCAGGTAGTGCACAGAGTGTTTCAAACCTGCTCTATAATAGGGAACATTCTACTCTGTGACTTGAATGAAGACATCACAAAGCAGTTTCTGAGAATGCTTCCGTCAAGATTTTATATGAAGATATTCCCGTTTCCAAGGAAATCTTCCTAGCTATCTAAATATCAACTTGCAGATTCTACTAAAGGAATGTTTCCAAAATGCTGTATCCACACAAGGGTTCAACTCTGTTAATTGAGGACATACAGCACAAAGAAGTTTCTGAGAATGCTTCTGTCTAGATTTTTTATGAAGATATCCCGTTTCCAAAGAAATCCTCAAAGGTATCCATATATCTACTTCCAGATTCTACAAAAAGACTGTTTCAAAACGGCTCTGTCAAAAGTAAGGTTCAACTCTGTTACTTGAGTACACACATCACAAGGAAGTTTCTGAGAATGCTTCTGTCTGGTTTTTAGGAGAAGATATTTCCTTTTTCAACATAGGCCTCAAAGCGCTGCAAATGTCCACTTCCAAATATTACAAAAAGAGTGTTTCAAACCTGCTCTATGAAGGGAAGTGTTCAACTCTATGAGTTGAATGCAAACATCACAGAGAAGTTTCTGAGAATGCTTCTGTCATGATTTTATATGAAGATATTCCCGTTTCCAACGAAACCTTCAAAGCTATCCAAATATCCACCTGCAGATCCTACAAAAAGAGTGTTTCCAAAATGCTGTATCAAAACAAAGGTTCAACTCTGTTAGTTGAGAACACACATCTCAAATAAGTTTCTGAGAATGCTTCTGTCTAGTTTTTATTTGAAGATATTTCCTTTTTCACCACAGGCCTGAAAGCGCTTGAAACGTCCGCTTGCAGATACTACAGATAGAGTGTTTCAAACCTGCTCTATGAAAGGGAATGTTCAGTTCTGTGACTTGAATGCAAACATCACAAAGAAGTTCCTGAGAATGCTTCTCCCTACATTTTATATGTAATCCCGTTTCCAACGAAATCCTCAAAGCTATCCAAATATCCACTTTCAGATTCCACAAAAAGAGTGTTTCAAAACTGCTCTGTAAAAAGAAAGGTTCATCTCTGTTAGTTGAATACACACATCACAAACAAGTTTCTGAGAATGCTTCTGTCTAGTTTTTATGGGAAGATATTTCCTTTTTCAACATAGGCCACAAAGCGCTCCAAATGTCCACTTCCAGATAGTGCACAAAGTGTGTCTCAAACCTGGTATATAAAAGGGAACATTCTACTCTGTGACTTGAATGAAAACATCACAAAGGAGTTTCTGAGAATGCTTCCGTCTAGATTTTATATGAAGATATTCCCGTTTCCAACGAAACCTTCAAAGCTATCCGAATATCCACCTGCAGATTCTACAAAAAGAGTGTTTCCAAAATGCCGTATCAAAACAAAGGTTCAACTCTGTTAGTTGAGAACACACATGGCAAATAAGTTTCTGAGAATGCTTCTGTCTAGTTTTTACTTGAAGATATTTCCTTTCTCACCATAGGCCTGAAAGCGCTTGAGACGTCCTCTTGCAGATACTACAGAAAGAGTGTTTCAAACCTGCTCTATGAAAGGGAATGTTCAGTTCTGTGACTTGAATGCAAACATCACAAAGAAGTTCCTGAGAATGCTTCTCTCTAGGTTTTATATGTAATCCCGTTTCCAACGAAATCCTCAAAGCTATCCAAATATCCACTTTCAGATTCCACAAAAAGAGTGTTTCAAAACTGCTCTGTAAAAAGAAAGGTTCATCTCTGTTAGTTGAATACACACATCACAAACAAGTTTCTGAGAATGCTTCTGTCTAGTTTTTATGGGAAGATATTTCCTTTTTCAACATAGGCCTCAAAGCGCTCCAAATGTGCACTTCCAGGTAGTGCAGAAAGAGTGTTTCAAACCTGCTCTATAAAAGGGAATATTCAACTCTGTGACTTGAATGCAAACATCACAAAGCACTTTCTGAGAATGCTTCCGTCTAGATTTTATATGAAGATATTCCCGTTTCCAAGGAAATCTTCCTAGCTATCTAAATATCAACTTGTAGATTCTACTAAAGGAATGTTTCCAAAATGCTGTATCGAAACAAAGGTTCAACTCTGTTAATTGAGGACATACAGCACAAAGAAGTTTCTGAGAATGCTTCTGTCTAGATTTTATATGAAGATATCCCGTGTCCAAAGAAATCCTCAAAGGTATCAAAATATCCACTTGCAGATTCTACAAAAAGAGTGCTTCAAAACTGCTCTGTCAAAAGGAAGGTTCAACTCTGTTACTTGAGTACACACATCACAAGAAAGATTCTGAGAATGCTTCTGTCTGGTTTTTACGAGAAGATATCCCCTTTTTCACCATAGGCTTCAAAGCGCTGCCAGTGTCCACTTCCAAATATTACAAAAAGAGTATTTCAAACCAGCTCTATGAAAGGAAGTGTTCAACTCTATGAGTTGAATGCAAACATCACAGAGAAGTTTCTGAGAATGCTTCTGTGTTGATTTTATATGAAGATATTCCCGTTTCCTACGAAACCTTCATAGCTATCCAAATATCCACCTGCAGATCCTACAAAAAGAGTGTTTCCAAAATGCTGTATCAAAACAAAGGTTCAACTCTGTTAGTTGAGAACACACATCGCAAATAAGTTTCTGAGAATGCTTCTGTCTAGTTTTTATTTGAAGATATTTCCTTTTTCACCACAGGCCTGAAAGCGCTTGAAACGTCCACTTGCAGATACTACAGAAAGAGTGTTTCAAAGCTGCTCTATGAAAGGGAATGTTCAGTTCTGTGACTTGAATGCAAACATCACAAAGAAGTTCCTGAGAATGCTTCTCCCTAGATTGTATATGTAATCCCGTTTCCAACGAAATCCTCAAAGCTATCCAAATATCCACTTTCAGATTCCACAAAAAGAGTGTTTCAAAACTGCTCTGTAAAAAGAAAGGTTCATCTCTGTTAGTTGAATACACACATCACAAACAAGTTTCTGAGAATGCTTCTGTCTAGTTTTTATGGGAAGATATTTCCTTTTTCAACATAGGCCTCAAAGCGCTCCAAATGTCCACTTCCAGGTAGTGCAGAAAGAGTGTCTCAAACCTGGTATATAACAGGGAACATTCTACTCTGTGACTTGAATGAAAACATCACAAAGCAGTTTCTGAGAATGCTTCCGTCTAGATTTTATATGAAGATATTCCCGTTTCCAACGAAATCTTCAAAGCTATCTAAATATCCACCTGCAGATTCTACAAAAAGAGTGTTTCCAAAATGCTGTATCCACACAAAGGTTCAACTCTGTTAATTGAGGACATACATGCACAAATAAGTTTCTGAGAATGCTTCTGTCTAGATTTTATATGAAGATATCCCGTGTCCAACGAAATCCTCAAAGCTATCAAAATATCCACTTGCAGATTCTACAAAAAGAGTGCTTCAAAACTGCTCTGTCCAAAGGAAGGTTCAACTCTGTTACTTGAGTACACACATCACAAGGAAGTTTCTGAGAATGCTTCTGTCTGCTTTTTAGGAGAAGATATTTCCTTTTTCAACATAGGCCTCAAAGCGCTGGAAATGTCCACTTCCAAATATTACAAAAAGAGTGTTTCAAACCTGCTCTATGAAGGGAAGTGTTCAACTCTATGAGTTGAATGCAAACATCACAGAGAAGTTTCTGAGAATGCTTCTGTCTTGATTTTATATGAAGATATTCCCGTTTCCAACGAAACCTTCAAAGCTATCCAAATATCCACTTGCAGATTCTACAAAAAGAGTGTTTCCAAAATGTTGTATCAAAACAAAGGTTCAACTCTGTTAGTTGAGAACACACATCGCAAATAAGTTTCTGAGAATGCTTCTGTCTAGTTTTTATTTGAAGATATTTCCTTTCTCACCATAGGCCTGAAAGCGCTTGAAACGTCCGCTTGCAGATACTACAGAAAGAGTGTTTCAAACCTGCTCTATGAAAGGGAATGTTCAGTTCTGTGACTTGAATGCAAACATCACAAAGAAGTTCCTGAGAATGCTTCTCCCTAGATTTTATATGTAATCCCGTTTCCAACGAAATCCTCAAAGCTATCCAAATATCCACTTTCAGATTCCACAAAAAGAGTGTTTCAAAACTGCTCTGTAAAAAGAAAGGTTCATCTCTGTTAGTTGAATACACACATCACAAACAAGTTTCTGAGAATGCTTCTGTCTAGTTTTTATGGGAAGATATTTCCTTTTTCAACATAGGCCTCAAAGCGCTGCAAATGTCCACTTCCAGGTAGTGTACAGAGTGTTTCAAACATGCTCTATGAAAGGAAGTGTTCAACTCTATGAGTTGAATGCAAACATCACAGAGAAGTTTCTGAGAATGCTTCTGTCTTGAGTTTATATGGGGTATTCCCGTTTCCAACGAAACCTTCAAAGCTATCCAAATATCCACTTGCAGATTCTACAAAAAGAGTGTTTCCGAAATGTTGTATCCAAACAAAGGTTCAACTCTTTTAGTTGAGAACACACATGGCAAATAAGTTTCTGAGAATGCTTCTGTCTAGTTTTTATTTGAAGATATTTCCTTTTTCACCACAGGCCTGAAAGCGCTTCAAACGTCCGCTTGCAGATACTACAGAAAGAGTGTTTCAAACCTGCTCTATGAAAGGGAATGTTCAGTTCTGTGACTTGAATGCAAACATCACAAAGAAGTTCCTGAGAATGCTTCTCCCTACATTTTATATGTAATCCCGTTTCCAACGAATTCCTCAAACCTATCCAAATATCCACTTTCGGATTCCACAAAAAGAGTGTTTCAAAACTACTCTGTAAAAAGAAAGGTTCATCTCTGTTAGTTGAATACACACATCACAAACAAGTTTCTGAGAATGCTTCTGTCTAGTTTTTATGGGAAGATATTTCCTTTTTCATCATAGGCCTCAAAGCGCTGCAAATGTCCACTTCCAAATATTACAAAAAGAGTGTTTCAAACCTGCTGTATGAAGGGAAGTGTTCATCTCTATGAGTTGAATGCAAACATCACAGAGAAGCTTCTGAGAATGCTTCTGTCTTGATTTTATATGAAGATATTCCCGTTTCCAATGAAACCTTCAAAGCTATCCAAATATCCAATTGCAGATTCCACAAAAAGAGTGTTTCCAAAATGTTGTATCAAAAGAAAGGTTCAACTCTGTTAGTTGAGGATACACATCGCAAATAAGTTTCTGAGAATGCTTCTGTCTAGTTTTTATTTGAAGATATTTCCTTTCTCACCATAGGCCTGAAAGCGTTTGAAATGTCCGTTTGCAGATACTACAGAAAGAGTGTTTCAAACATGCTCTATGAAAGGGAATGTCCAGTTCTGTGACGTGAATGCAAACATCACAAAGAAGTTCCTGAGAATGCTTCTCCCTAGATTTTATATGTAATCCCGTTTCCAACGAATTCCTCAAAGCTATCCAAATATCCACTTTAAGATTCCACAAAAAGAGTGTTTCAAAACTACTCTGTAAAAAGAAAGGTTCATCTCTGTTAGTTGAATACACTCATCACAAACAAGTTTCTGAGAATGCTTCCGTCTAGATTTTATATGAAGATATTCCCGTTTCCAACGAAACCTTCAAAGCTATCCGAATATCCACCTGCAGATTCTACAAAAAGAGTGTTTCCAAAATGCCGTATCAAAACAAAGGTTCAACTGTGTTAGTTGAGAACACACATGGCAAATAAGTTTCTGAGAATGCTTCTGTCTAGATTTTATATGAAGATATCCCGTGTCCAACGAAATCCTCAAAGGTATCAAAATATCCACTTGCAGATTCTACAAAAAGAGTGCTTCAAAACTGCTCTGTCAAAATGAAGGTTCAACTCTGTTACTTGAGTACACACATCACAAGAAAGATTCTGAGAATGCTTCTGTCTGGTTTTTAGGAGAAGATATCTCCTTTTTCACCATAGGCTTCAAAGCGCTGCCAATGTCCACTTCCAAATATTACAAAAAGAGTATTTCAAACCAGCTCTATGAAAGGAAGTGTTCAACTCTATGAGTTGAATGCAAGCATCACAGAGAAGTTTCTGAGAATGCTTCCGTCTAGATTTTATGTGAAGATATTCCCGTTTCCAAGGAAATCTTCCTAGCTATCTAAATATCAACTTGCAGATTCTACTAAAGGAGTGTTTCCAAAGTGCTGTATCCGGACAAAGGTTCAACTATGTTAATTGAGGACATACAGCACAAAGAAGTTTCTGAGAATGCTTCTGTCTAGATTTTATATGAAGATATCCCGTTTCCAAAGAAATCCTCAAAGCTATCCAAATATCTACATCCAGATTCTACAAAAAGACTGTTTCAAAACGGCTCTGTCAAAAGTAAGGTTCAACTCTGTTACTTGAGTACACACATCACAAGGAAGTTTCTGAGAATTCTTCTGTCTGGTTTTTAGGAGAAGATATTTCCTTTTTCAACATAGGCCTCAAAGCGCTCCAAATGTCCACTTCCAGGTAGTGCAGAAAGAGTGTTTCAAACCTGCTCTATAAAAGGGAATATTCAACTCTGTGACTTGAATGCAAACATCACAAAGCACTTTCTGAGAATGCTTCCGTCTAGATTTTATATGAAGATATTCCCGTTTCCAAGGAAATCTTCCTAGCTATCTAAATATCAACTTGCAGACTCTACTAAAGGAATGTTTCCAAAATGCTGTATCCACACAAAGGTTCAACTCTGTTAATTGAGGACATACAGCACAAAGAAGTTTCTGAGAATGCTTCTGTCTAGATTTTATATGAAGATATCCCGTGTCCAACGAAATCCTCAAAGGTATCAAAATATCCACTTGCAGATTCTACAAAAAGAGTGCTTCAAAACTGCTCTGTCAAAAGGAAGGTTCAACTCTGTTACTTGAGTACACACATCACAAGGAAGTTTCTGAGAATGCTTCTGTCTGGTTTTTAGGAGAAGATATTTCGTTCTTCAACATAGGCCTCAAAGCGCTGCAAATGTCCACTTCCAAATATTACAAAAAGAGTGTTTCAAACCTGCTGTATGAAGGGAAGTGTTCACCTCTATGAGTTGAATGTAAACATCACAGAAAAGTTTCTGAGAATGTTTCTGTCTTGATTTTATATGAAGATATTCCGGTTTCCAACGAAACCTTCAAAGCTAACCAAATATCCACTTGCAGATCCTACAAAAAGAGTGTTTCCAAAACGTTGTATCCAAACAAAGGTTCAACTCTTTTAGTTGAGAACACACATCGCAAATAAGTTTCTGAGAATGCTTCTGTCTAGTTTTTATTTGAAGATATTTCCTTTTTCACCACAGGCCTGAAAGCGCTTCAAACGTCCGCTTGCAGATACTACAGAAAGAGTGTTTCAAACCTGCTCTATGAAAGGGAATGTTCAGTTCTGTGACTTGAATGCAAACATCACAAAGAAGTTCCTGAGAATGCTTCTCCCTAGATTTTATATGTAATCCCGTTTCCAACGAAATCCTCAAAGCTATCCAAATATCCACTTTCAGATTCCACAAAAAGAGTGTTTCAAAACTGCTCTGTAAAAAGAAAGGTTCATCTCTGTTAGTTGAATACACACATCACAAACAAGTTTCTGAGAATGCTTCTGTCTAGTTTTTATGGGAAGATATTTCCTTTTTCAACATAGGCCTCAAAGCGCTGCAAATGTCCACTTCCAAATATTACAAAAAGAGTGTTTCAAACCTGCTGTATGAAGGGAAGTGTTCAACTCTATGAGTTGAATGCAAACATCACAGAGAAGTTTCTGAGAATGCTTCTGTCTTGATTTTATATGCAGATATTCCCGTTTCCAACGAAACCTTCAAAGCTATCCAAATATCCACTTGCAGATTCTACAAAAAAGTGTTTCCAAAATGTTGTATCAAAACAAAGGTTCAACTCTGTTAGTTGAGAACACACATGGCAAATTAGTTTCTGAGAATGCTTCTGTCTAGTTTTTACTTGAAGATATTTCCTTTCTCACCATAGGCCTGAAAGCGCTTGAAACGTCCGCTTGCAGATACTACAGAAAGAGTGTTTCAAACCTGCTCTATGAAAGGGAATGTTCAGTTCTGTGACTTGAATGCAAACATCACAAAGAAGTTCCTGAGAATGCTTCTCCCTAGATTTTATATGTAATCCCGTTTCCAACGAAATCCTCAAAGCTATCCAAATATCCACTTTCAGATTCCACAAAAAGAGTGTTTCAAAACTGCTCTGTAAAAAGAAAGGTTCATCTCTGTTAGTTGAATACACACATCACAAACAAGTTTCTGAGAATGCTTCTGTCTAGTTTCTATGGGAAGATATTTCCTTTTTCAACATAGGCCTCAAAGCGCTCCAAATGTCCACTTCCAGGTAGTGCACAGAGTGTTTCAAACCTGCTCTATAAAAGGGAACATTCTACTCTGTGACTTGAATGAAGACATCACAAAGCAGTTTCTGAGAATGCTTCCGTCTAGATTTTATATGAAGATATTCCCGTTTCCAAGGAAATCTTCCTAGCTATCTAAATATCAACTTGCAGATTCTACTAAAGGAATGTTTCCAAAATGCTGTATCCACACAAAGGTTCAACTCTGTTAATTGAGGACATACAGCACAAAGAAGTTTCTGAGAATGCTTCTGTCTAGATTTTATATGAAGATATCCCGTTTCCAAAGAAATCCTCAAAGGTATCCAAATATCTACTTCCAGATTCTACAAAAAGACTGTTTCAAAACGGCTCTGTCAAAAGTAAGGTTCAACTCTGTTACTTGAGTACACACATCACAAGGAAGTTTCTGAGAATGCTTCTGTCTGGTTTTGAGGAGAAGATATTTCCTTTTTCAACATAGGCCTCAAAGCGCTGCAAATGTCAACTTCCAAATATTACAAAAAGAGTGTTTCAAACCTGCTCTATGAAGGGAAGTGTTCAACTCTATGAGTTGAATGCAAACATCACAGAGAAGTTTCTGAGAATGCTTCTGTCTTGATTTTATATGAAGATATTCCCGTTTCCAACGAAATCTTCAAAGCTATCCAAATATCCACCTGCAGATTCTACAAAAAGAGTGTTTCCAAAATGTTGTATCCAAACAAAGGTTCAACTATGTTAGTTGAGGACACACATCGCAAATAAGTTTCTGAGAATCCTTCTGTCTAGTTTTTATTTGAAGATATTTCCTTTCTCACCATAGGCCTGAAATCGCTTGAAATGTCCGTTTGCAGATACTACAGAAAGAGTGTTTCAAACATGCTCTATGAAAGGGAATGTTCAGTTCTGTGACGTGAATGCAAACATCACAAAGAAGTTCCTGAGAATGCTTCTCTCTAGATTTTACATGTAATCCCGTTTCCAACGAAATCCTCAAAGCTATCCAAATATCCACTTTCAGATTCCACAAAAAGAGTGTTTCAAAACTGCTCTGTAAAAAGAAAGGTTCATCTCTGTTAGTTGAATACACACATCACAAACAAGTTTCTGAGAATGCTTCTGTCTAGTTTCTATGGGAAGATATTTCCTTTTTCAACATAGGCCTCAAAGCGCTCCAAATGTCCACTTCCAGGTAGTGCACAGAGTGTTTCAAACCTGCTCTATAAAAGGGAACATTCTACTCTGTGACTTGAATGAAGACATCACAAAGCATTTTCTCAGAATGCTTCCGTCTAGATTTTATATGAAGATATTCCCGTTTCCAAGGAAATCTTCCTAGCTATCTAAATATCAACATGCAGATTCTACTAAAGGAATGTTTCCAAAATGCTGTATCCACACAAAGGTTCAACTCTGTTAATTGAGGACATACAGCACAAAGAAGTTTCTGAGAATGCTTCTGTCTAGAATTTGTATGAAGATATCCCGTTTCCAAAGAAATCCTCAAAGGTATCCAAATATCTACTTCCAGATTCTACAAAAAGACTGTTTCAAAACGGCTCTGTCAAAAGTAAGGTTCAACTCTGTTACTTGAGTACACACATCACAAGGAAGTTTCTGAGAATGCTTCTGTCTGGTTTTTAGGAGAAGATATTTCCTGTTTCAACATAGGCCTCAAAGCGCTGCAAATGTCCACTTCCAAATATTACAAAAAGAGTGTTTCAAACCTGCTCTATGAAGGGAAGTGTTCAACTCTATGAGTTGAATGCAAACATCACAGAGAAGTTTCTGAGAATGCTTCTGTCTTGATTTTATATGAAGATATTCCCGTTTCCAACGAAACCTTCAAAGCTATCCAAATATCCACCTGCAGATTCTACAAAAAGAGTGTTTCCAAAATGTTGTATCAAAACAAAGGTTCAACTCTGTTAGTTGAGGACACACATCGCAAATAAGTTTCTGAGAATGCTTCTGTCTAGTTTTTATTTGAAGATATTTCCTTTCTCACCATAGGCCTGAAAGCGCTTGAAATGTCCGTTTGCAGATACTACAGAAAGAGTGTTTCAAACATGACTCTATGAAAGGGAATGTTCAGTTCTGTGACTTGAATGCAAACATCACAAAGAAGTTCCTGAGAATGCTTCTCCCTAGATTTTATATGTAATCCCGTTTCCAACGAAATCCTCAAAGCTATCCAAATATCCACTTTCAGATTCCACAAAAAGAGTGTTTCAAAACTGCTCTGTAAAAAGAAAGGTTCATCTCGGTTAGTTGAATACACACATCACAAACAAGTTTCTGAGAATGCTTCTGTCTAGTTTTTATGGGAAGATATTTCCTTTTTCAACATAGGCCACAAAGCGCTCCAAATGTCCACTTCCAGATAGTGCAGAAAGTGTGTCTCAAACCTGGTATATAAAAGGGAACATTCTACTCTGTGACTTGAATGAAAACATCACAAAGGAGTTTCTGAGAGTGCTTCCGTCTAGATTTTATATGAAGATATTCCCGTTTCCAACGAAACCTTCAAAGCTATCCGAATATCCACCTGCAGATTCTACAAAAAGAGTGTTTCCAAAATGCCGTATCAAAACAAAGTTTCAACTCTGTTAGTTGAGAACACACATGGCAAATAAGTTTCTGAGAATGCTTCTGTCTAGTTTTTACTTGAAGATATTTCCTTTCTCACCATAGGCCTGAAAGCGCTTGAAACGTCTGCTTGCAGATACTACAGAAAGAGTGTTTCAAACATGCTCTATGAAAGGGAATGTTCAGTTCTGTGACTTGAATGCATACATCACAAAAAAGATCCTGAGAATGCTTCTCTCTAGATTTTATATGTAATCCCGTTTCCAACGAAATCCTCAAAGATATCCAAATATCCACTTTCAGATTCCACAAAAAGAGTGTTTCAAAACTGCTCTGTAAAAAGAAAGGTTCATCTCTGTTAGTTGAATACACACATCACAAACAAGTTTCTGAGAATGCTTCTGTCTAGTTTTTATGGGAGGATATTTCCTTTTTCAACATAGGCCTCAAAGCGCTCCAAATGTCCACTTCCAGGTAGTGCAGAAAGAGTGTTTCAAACCTGCTCTATAAAAGGGAATATTCAACTCTGTGTCTTGAATGCAAACATCACAAAACACTTTCTGAGAATGCTTCCGTCTAGATTTTATATGAAGATATTCCCGTTTCCAACGAAATCTTCCTAGCTATCTAAATATCAACTTGCAGATTCTACTAAAGGAATGTTTCCAAAATGCTGTATCGAAACAAAGGTTCAACTCTGTTAATTGAGGACATACATCACAAAGAAGTTTCTGAGAATGCTTCTGTCTAGATTTTATATGAAGATATCCCGTGTCCAACGAAATCCTCAAAGGTATCAAAATATCCACTTGCAGATTCTACAAAAAGAGTGCTTCAAAACTGCTCTGTCAAAAGGAAGGTTCAACTCTGTTACTTGACTACACACATCACAAGAAAGATTCTGAGAATGCTTCTGTCTGGTTTTTAGGGGAAGATATCTCTTTTTTCACCATAGGCTTCAAAGCGCTGCCAATGTCCACTTCCAAATATTACAAAAAGAG
The DNA here is from genome assembly GCF_000001405.40 of Homo sapiens. NCBI lineage: Eukaryota > Metazoa > Chordata > Mammalia > Primates > Hominidae > Homo > Homo sapiens. The sequence continues at coordinate 60,578,658 of NC_000009.12, forward strand.
TATTTCAAACCACCTCTATGAAAGAAAGTGTTCAACTCTATGAGTTGAATGCAAACATCACAGAGAAGTTTCTGAGAATGCTTCTGTCTTGATTTTATATGAAGATATTCCCGTTTCCAACGAAACCTTCATAGCTATCCAAATATCCACTTGCAGATTCTACAAAAAGAGTGTTTCCAAAATGTTGTATCAAAACAAAGGTTCAACTCTGTTAGTTGAGAACACACATCGCAAATAAGTTTCTGAGAATGCTTCTGTCTAGTTTTTATTTGAAGATATTTCCTTTCTCACCATAGGCCTGAAAGCGCTTGAAACGTCCGCTTGCAGATACTACAGAAAGAGTGTTTCAAAGCTGCTCTATGAAAGGGAATGTTCAGTTCTGTGACTTGAATGCAAACATCACAAAGAAGTTCCTGAGAATGCTTCTCCCTAGATTGTATATGTAATCCCGTTTCCAACGAAATCCTCAAAGCTATCCAAATATCCACTTTCAGATTCCACAAAAAGAGTGTTTCAAAACTGCTCTGTAAAAAGAAAGTTTCATCTCTGTTAGTTGAATACACACATCACAAACAAGTTTCTGAGAATGCTTCTGTCTAGTTTTTATGGGAAGATATTTCCTTTTTCAACATAGGCCTCAAAGCGCTCCAAACGTCCACTTCCAGGTAGTGCAGAAAGAGTGTCTCAAACCTGGTATATAACAGGGAACATTCTACTCTGTGACTTGAATGAAAACATCACAAAGCAGTTTCTGAGAATGCTTCCGTCTAGATTTTATATGAAGATATTCCCGTTTCCAACGAAACCTTCAAAGCTATCCGAATATCCACCTGCAGATTCTACAAAAAGAGTGTTTCCAAAATGCCGTATCAAAACAAAGGTTCAACTCTGTTAGTTGAGAACACACATGGCAAATAAGTTTCTGAGAATGCTTCTGTCTAGTTTTTACTTGAAGATATTTCCTTTCTCACCATAGGCCTGAAAGCGCTTGAAACGTCCGCTTGCAGATACTACAGAAAGAGTGTTTCAAACCTGCTCCATGAAAGGGAATGTTCAGTCCTGTGACTTGAAGGCCAACATCACAAAGAAGTTCCTGAGAATGCTTCTCTCTAGGTTTTATATGTAATCCCGTTTCCAACGAAATCCTCAAAGCTATCCAAATATCCACTTTCAGATTCCACAAAAAGAGTGTTTCAAAACTGCTCTGTAAAAAGAAAGGTTCATCTCTGTTAGTTGAATACACACATCACAAACAAGTTTCTGAGAATGCTTCTGTCTAGTTTTTATGGGAAGATATTTCCTTTTTCAACATAGGCCTCAAAGCGCTCCAAATGTCTACTTCCAGGTAGTGCAGAAAGAGTGTTTCAAACCTGCTCTATAAAAGGGAATATTCAACTCTGTGACTTGAATGCAAACATCACAAAGCACTTTCTGAGAATGCTTCCGTCTAGATTTTATATGAAGATATTCCCGTTTCCAAGGAAATCTTCCTAGCTATCTAAATATCAACTTGCAGATTCTACTAAAGGAATGTTTCCAAAATGCTGTATCCACACAAAGGTTCAACTCTGTTAATTGAGGACATACAGCACAAAAAAGTTTCTGAGAATGCTTCTGTCTAGATTTTATATGAAGATATCCCGTGTCCAACGAAATCCTCAAAGGTATCAAAATATCCACTTGCAGATTCTACAAAAAGAGTGCTTCAAAACTGCTCTGTCCAAAGGAAGGTTCAACTCTGTTACTTGAGTACACACATCACAAGGAAGTTTCTGAGAATGCTTCTGTCTGCTTTTTAGGAGAAGATATTTCCTTTTTCAACATAGGCCTCAAAGCGCTGCAAATGTCCACTTCCAAATATTACAAAAAGAGTGTTTCAAACCTGCTCTATGAAGGGAAGTGTTCAACTCTATGAGTTGAATGCAAACATCACAGAGAAGTTTCTGAGAATGCTTCTGTCTTGATTTTATATGAAGATATTCCCGTTTCCAACGAGACCTTCAAAGCTATCCAAATATCCACTTGCAGATTCTACAAAAAGAGTGTTTCCAAAATGTTGTATCAAAACAAAGGTTCAACTCTGTTAGTTGAGGACACACATCGCAAATAAGTTTCTGAGAATGCTTCTGTCTAGTTTTTATTTGAAGATATTTCCTTTCTTACCATAGGCCTGAAAGCGCTTGAAATGTCCGTTTGCAGATACTACAGAAAGAGTGTTTCAAACATGCTCTATGAAAGGGAATGTTCAGTTCTGTGACGTGAATGCAAACATCACAAAGAAGTTCCTGAGAATGCTTCTCTCTAGATTTTATATGTAATCCCGTTTCCAACGAAATCCTCAAAGCTATCCAAACATCCACTTTCAGATTCCACAAAAAGAGTGTTTCAAAACTGTTCTGTAAAAAGAAAGGTTCATCTCTGTTAGTTGAATACACACATCACAAAGAAGTTTCTGAGAATGCTTCTGTCTAGTTTTTATGGGAAGATATTTCCTTTTTCATCATAGGCCTCAAAGCGCTCCAAATGTCCACTTCCAGATAGTGCAGAAAGAGTGTCTCAAACCTGGTATATAAAAGGGAACATTCTACTCTGTGACTTGAATGAAAACATCACAAAGCAGTTTCTGAGAATGCTTCCGTCTAGATTTTATATGAAGATATTCCCGTTTCCAACGAAACCTTCAAAGCTCTCCGAATATCCACCTGCAGATTCTACAAAAAGAGTGTTTCCAAAATGCCGTATCAAAACAAAGGTTCAACTCTGTTAGTTGAGAACACACATGGCAAATAAGTTTCTGAGAATGCTTCTGTCTAGTTTTTAGTTGAAGATATTTCCTTTCTCACCATAGGCCTGAAAGCGCTTGAAACGTCCGCTTGCAGATACTACAGAAAGAGTGTTTCAAACATGCTCTATGAAAGGGAATGTTCAGTTTTGTGACTTGAATGCAAACATCACAAAGAAGTTCCTGAGAATGCTTCTCTCTAGATTTTATATGTAATCCCGTTTCCAACGAAATCCTCAAAGCTATCCACATATCCACTTTCAGATTCAACAAAAAGAGTGTTTCAAAACTGCTCTGTAAAAAGAAAGGTTCATCTCTGTTAGTTGAATACACACATCACAAACAAGTTTCTGAGAATGCTTCTGTCTAGTTTTTATGGGAAGATATTTCCTTTTTCATCATAGGCCTCAAAGCGCTCCAAATGTCCACTTCCAGATAGTGCAGAAAGAGTGTCTCAAACCTGGTATATAAAAGGGAACATTCTACTCTGTGACTTGAATGAAAACATCACAAAGCAGTTTCTGAGAATGCTTCCGTCTAGATTTTATATGAAGATATTCCCGTTTCCAACGAAACCTTCAAAGCTATCCGAATATCCACCTGCAGATTCTACAAAAAGAGTGTTTCCAAAATGCCGTATCAAAACAAAGGTTCAACTCTGTTAGTTGAGAACACACATGGCAAATAAGTTTCTGAGAATGCTTCTGTCTAGTTTTTACTTGAAGATATTTCCTTTCTCACCATAGGCCTGAAAGCGCTTGAAACGTCCGCTTGCAGATACTACAGAAAGAGTGTTTCAAACATGCTCTATGAAAGGGAATGTTCAGTTCTGTGACTTGAATGCAAACATCACAAAGAAGTTCCTGAGAATGCTTCTCTCTAGATTTTATATGTAATCCCGTTTCCAACGAAATCCTCAAAGCTATCCAAATATCCACTTTCAGATTCCACAAAAAGAGTGTTTCAAAACTGCTCTGTAAAAAGAAAGGTTCATCTCTGTTAGTTGAATACACACATCACAAACAAGTTTCTGAGAATGCTTCTGTCTAGTTTTTATGGGAAGATATTTCCTTTTTCAACATAGGCCTCAAAGCGCTCCAAATGTCCACTTCCAGGTAGTGCAGAAAGAGTGTTTCAAACCTGCTCTATAAAAGGGAATATTGAACTCTGTGACTTGAATGCAAACATCACAAAGCACTTTCTGAGAATGCTTCCGTCTAGATTTTATATGAAGATATTCCCATTTCCAAGGAAATCTTCCTAGCTATCTAAATATCAACTTGCAGATTCTACTAAAGGAATGTTTCCAAAATGCCGTATCCACACAAAGGTTCAACTCTGTTAATTGAGGACATACAGCACAAAGAAGTTTCTGAGAATGCTTCTGTCTAGATTTTATATGAAGATATCCCGTTTCCAAAGAAATCCTCAAAGGTATCCAAATATCTACTTCCAGATTCCACAAAAAGACTGTTTCAAAACTGCTCTGTAAAAAGAAAGGTTCATCTCTGTTAGTTGAATACACACATCACAAACAAGTTTCTGAGAATGCTTCTGTCTAGTTTTTATGGGAAGATATTTCCTTTTTCATCATAGGCCTCAAAGCGCTCCAAATGTCCACTTCCAGATAGTGCAGAAAGAGTGTCTCAAACCTGGTATATAAAAGGGAACATTCTACTCTGTGACTTGAATGAAAACATCACAAAGCAGTTTCTGAGAATGCTTCCGTCTAGATTTTATATGAAGATATTCCCGTTTCCAACGAAACCTTCAAAGCTATCCGAATATCCACCTGGAGATTCTACAAAAAGAGTGTTTCCAAAATGCCGTATCCAAACAAAAGTTCAACTCTGTTAGTTGAGAACACACATGGCAAATAAGTTTCTGAGAATGCTTCTGTCTAGTTTTTACTTGAAGATATTTCCTTTCTCACCATAGGCCTGAAAGCGCTTGAAACGTCCGCTTGCAGATACTACAGAAAGAGTGATTCAAACATGCTCTATGAAAGGGAATGTTCAGTTCTGTGACTTGAATGCAAACATCACAAAGAAGTTCCTGAGAATGCTTCTCTCTAGATTTTATATGTAATCCCGTTTCCAACGAAATCCTCAAAGCTATCCAAATATCCACTTTCAGATTCCACAAAAAGAGTGTTTCAAAACTGCTCTGTAAAAAGAAAGGTTCATCTCTGTTAGTTGAATACACACATCACAAACAAGTTTCTGAGAATGCTTCTGTCTAGTTTTTATGGGAAGATATTTCCTTTTTCAACATAGGCCTCAAAGCGCTCCAAATGTCCACTTCCCGGTAGTGCAGAAAGAGTGTTTCAAACCTGCTCTATAAAAGGGAATATTCAACTCTGTGACTTGAATGCAAACATCACAAAGCACTTTCTGAGAATGCTTCCGTCTAGATTTTATATGAAGATATTCCCGTTTCCAAGGAAATCTTCCTAGCTATCTAAATATCAACTTGCAGATTCTACTAAAGGTATGTTTCCAAAATGCTGTATCCACACAAAGGTTCAACTCTGTTAATTGAGGACATACAGCACAAAGAAGTTTCTGAGAATGCTTCTGTCTAGATTTTATATGAAGATATCCCGTTTCCAAAGAAATCCTCAAAGGTATCCAAATATCTACTTCCAGATTCTACAAAAAGACTGTTTCAAAACGGCTCTGTCAAAAGGAAGGTTCAACTCTGTTACTTGAGTACACACATCACAAGGAAGTTTCTGAGAATGCTTCTGTCTGGTTTTTAGGAGAAGATATTTCCTTTTTCAACATAGGCCTCAAAGCGCTGCAAATGTCCACTTCCAAATATTACAAAAAGAGTGTTTCAAACCTGCTCTATGAAGGGAAGTGTTCAACTCTATGAGTTGAATGCAAACATCACAGAGAAGTTTCTGAGAATGCTTCTGTCTTGATTTTATATGAAGATATTCCCGTTTCCAACGAAACCTTCAAAGCTATCCAAATATCCACTTGCAGATTCTACAAAAAGAGTGTTTCCAAAATGTTGTATCAAAACAAAGGTTCAACTCTGTTAGTTGAGGACACACATCGCAAATAAGTTTCTGAGAATGCTTCTGTCTAGTTTTTATTTGAAGATATTTCCTTTCTTACCATAGGCCTGAAAGCGCTTGAAATGTCCGTTTGCAGATACTACAGAAAGAGTGTTTCAAACATGCTCTATGAAAGGGAATGTTCAGTTCTGTGACTTGAATGCAAACATCACAAAGAAGTTCCTGAGAATGCTTCTCTCTAGATCTTAAATGTAATCCCGTTTCCAACGAAATCCTCAAAGCTATCCAAATATCCACTTTCAGATTCCACAAAAAGAGTGTTTCAAAACTGCTCTGTAAAAAGAAAGGTTCATCTCTGTTAGTTGAATACACACATCACAAACAAGTTTCTGAGAATGCTTCTGTCTAGTTTTTATGGGAAGATATTTCCTTTTTCATCATAGGCCTCAAAGCGCTCCAAATGTCCACTTCCAGATAGTGCAGAAAGAGTGTCTCAAACCTGGTATATAAAAGGGAACATTCTACTCTGTGACTTGAATGAAAACATCACAAAGCAGTTTCTGAGAATGCTTCCGTCTAGATTTTATATGAAGATATTCCCGTTTCCAACGAAACCTTCAAAGCTATCCGAATATCCACCTGCAGATTCTACAAAAAGAGTGTTTCCAAAATGCCGTATCCAAACAAAGGTTCAACTCTGTTAGTTGAGAACACACATGGCAAATAAGTTTCTGAGAATGCTTCTGTCTAGTTTTTACTTGAAGATATTTCCTTTCTCACCATAGGCCTGAAAGCGCTTGAAACGTCCGCTTGCAGATACTACAGAAAGAGTGTTTCAAACATGCTCTATGAAAGGGAATGTTCAGTTCTGTGACTTGAATGCAAACATCACAAAGAAGTTCCTGAGAATGCTTCTCTCTAGATTTTATATGTAATCCCGTTTCCAACGAAATCCTCAAAGCTATCCAAATATCCACTTTCAGATTCCACAAAAAGAGTGTTTCAAAACTGCTCTGTAAAAAGAAAGGTTCATCTCTGTTAGTTGAATACACACATCACAAACAAGTTTCTGAGAATGCTTCTGTCTAGTTTTTATGGGAAGATATTTCCTTTTTAAACATAGGCCTCAAAGCGCTCCAAATGTCCACTTCCAGGTAGTGCAGAAAGAGTGTTTCAAACCTGCTCTATAAAAGGGAATATTCAACTCTGTGACTTGAATGCAAACATCACAAAGCACTTTCTGAGAATGCTTCCGTCTAGATTTTATATGAAGATATTCCCATTTCCAAGGAAATCTTCCTAGCTATCTAAATATCAACTTGCAGATTCTACTAAAGGAATGTTTCCAAAATGCTGTATCCACACAAAGGTTCAACTCTGTTAATTGAGGACATACAGCACAAAGAAGTTTCTGAGAATGCTTCTGTCTAGATTTTATATGAAGATATCCCGTTTCCAAAGAAATCCTCAAAGGTATCCAAATATCTACTTCCAGATTCTACAAAAAGACTGTTTCAAAACGGCTCTGTCAAAAGTAAGGTTCAACTCTGTTACTTGAGTACACACATCACAAGGAAGTTTCTGAGAATGCTTCTGTCTGGTTTTTAGGAGAAGATATTTCCTTTTTCAACATAGGCCTCAAAGCGCTGCAAATGTCCACTTCCAAATATTACAAAAAGAGTGTTTCAAACCTGCTCTATGAAGGGAAGTGTTCAACTCTATGAGTTGAATGCAAACATCACAGAGAAGTTTCTGAGAATGCTTCTGTCTTGATTTTATATGAAGATATTCCCGTTTCCAACGAAACCTTCAAAGCTATCCAAATAACCACTTGCAGATTCTACAAAAAGAGTGTTTCCAAAATGTTGTATCAAAACAAAGGTTCAACTCTGTTAGTTGAGGACACACATCGCAAATAAGTTTCTGAGAATGCTTCTGTCTAGTTTTTACTTGAAGATATTTCCTTTCTCACCATAGGCCTGAAAGCGCTTGAAACGTCCGCTTGCAGATACTACAGAAAGAGTGTTTCAAACATGCTCTATGAAAGGGAATGTTCAGTTCTGTGACTTGCATGTAAACATCACAAAGAAGTTCCTGAGAATGCTTCTCTCTAGATTTTATATGTAATCCCGTTTCCAACGAAATCCTCAAAGCTATCCAAATATCCACTTTCAGATTCCACAAAAAGAGTGTTTCAAAACTGCTCTGTAAAAAGAAAGGTTCATCTCTGTTAGTTGAATACACACATCACAAACAAGTTTCTGAGAATGCTTCTGTCTAGTTTTTATGGGAAGATATTTCCTTTTTCAACATAGGCCTCAAAGCGCTCCAAATGTCCACTTCCAGGTAGTGCAGAAAGAGTGTTTCAAACCTGCTCTATAAAAGGGAATATTGAACTCTGTGACTTGAATGCAAACATCACAAAGCACTTTCTGAGAATGCTTCCGTCTAGATTTTATATGAAGATATTCCCGTTTCCAAGGAATTCTTCCTAGCTATCTAAATATCAACTTGCAGATTCTACTAAAGGAATGTTTCCAAAATGCCGTATCCACACAAAGGTTCAACTCTGTTAATTGAGGTCATACAGCACAAAGAAGTTTCTGAGAATGCTTCTGTCTAGATTTTATATGAAGATATCCCGTTTCCAAAGAAATCCTCAAAGGTATCCAAATATCTACTTCCAGATTCCACAAAAAGACTGTTTCAAAACTGCTCTGTAAAAAGAAAGGTTCATCTCTGTTAGTTGAATACACACATCACAAACAAGTTTCTGAGACTGCTTCTGTCTAGTTTTTATGGGAAGATATTTCCTTTTTCATCATAGGCCTCAAAGCGCTCCAAATGTCCACTTCCAGATAGTGCAGAAAGAGTGTCTCAAACCTGGTATATAAAAGGGAACATTCTACTCTGTGACTTCAATGAAAACATCACAAAGCAGTTTCTGAGAATGCTTCCGTCTAGATTTTATATGAAGATATTCCCGTTTCCAACGAAACCTTCAAAGCTATCCGAATATCCACCTGGAGATTCTACAAAAAGAGTGTTTCCAAAATGCCGTATCCAAACAAAAGTTCAACTCTGTTAGTTGAGAACACACATGGCAAATAAGTTTCTGAGAATGCTTCTGTCTAGTTTTTACTTGAAGATATTTCCTTTCTCACCATAGGCCTGAAAGCGCTTGAAACGTCCGCTTGCAGATACTACAGAAAGAGTGATTCAAACATGCTCTATGAAAGGGAATGTTCAGTTCTGTGACTTGAATGCAAACATCACAAAGAAGTTCCTGAGAATGCTTCTCTCTAGATTTTATATGTAATCCCGTTTCCAACGAAATCCTCAAAGCTATCCAAATATCCACTTTCAGATTCCACAAAAAGAGTGTTTCAAAACTGCTCTGTAAAAAGAAAGGTTCATCTCTGTTAGTTGAATACACACATCACAAACAAGTTTCTGAGAATGCTTCTGTCTAGTTTTTATGGGAAGATATTCCCTTTTTCAACATAGGCCTCAAAGCGCTCCAAATGTCCACTTCCAGGTAGTGCAGAAAGAGTGTTTCAAACCTGCTCTATAAAAGGGAATATTCAACTCTGTGACCTGAATGCAAACATCACAAAGCACTTTCTGAGAATGCTTCCGTCTAGATTTTATATGAAGATATTCCCGTTTCCAAGGAAATCTTCCTAGCTATCTAAATATCAACTTGCAGATTCTACTAAAGGAATGTTTCCAAAATGCTGTATCCACACAAAGGTTCAACTCTGTTAATTGAGGACATACAGCACAAAGAAGTTTCTGAGAATGCTTCTGTCTAGATTTTATATGAAGATATCCCGTTTCCAAAGAAATCCTCAAAGGTATCCAAATATCTACTTCCAGATTCTACAAAAAGACTTTTTCAAAACGGCTCTGTCAAAAGTAAGGTTCAACTCTGTTACTTGAGTACACACATCACAAGGAACTTTCTGAGAATGCTTCTGTCTGGTTTTTAGGAGAAGATATTTCCTTTTCCAACATAGGCCTCAAAGCGCTGCAAATGTCCACTTACAAATATTACAAAAAGAGTGTTTCAAACCTGCTCTATGAAGGGAAGTGTTCAACTCTATGAGTTGAATGCAAACATCACAGAGAAGTTTCTGAGAATGCTTCTGTCTTGATTTTATATGAAGATATTCCCGTTTCCAACGAAACCTTCAAAGCTATCCAAATATCCACCTGCAGATCCTACAAAAAGAGTGTTTCCAAAATGCTGTATCAAAACAAAGGTTCAACTCTGTTAGTTGAGAACACACATCGCAAATAAGTTTCTGAGAATGCTTCTGTCTAGTTTTTATTTGAAGATATTTCCTTTCTCACCATAGGCCTGAAAGCGCTTGAAACGTCCGCTTGCAGATACTACAGAAAGAGTGTTTCAAACCTGCTCTATGAAACGGAATGTTCAGTTCTGTGACTTGAATGCAAACATCACAAAGAAGTTCCTGAGAATGCTTCTCCCTAGATTTTTTATGTAATCCCGTTTCCAACGAAATCCTCAAAGCTATCCAAATATCCACTTTCAGATTCCACAAAAAGAGTGTTTCAAAACTGCTCTGTAAAAAGAAAGGTTCATCTCTGTTAGTTGAATACACACATCACAAACAAGTTTCTGAGAATGCTTCTGTCTAGTTTTTATGGGAAGATATTTCCTTTTTCAACATAGGCCTCAAAGCGCTGTAAATGTCCACTTCCAAATATTACAAAAAGAGTGTTTCAAACCTGCTCTATGAAGGGAAGTGTTCAACTCTATGAGTTGAATGCAAACATCACAGAGAAGTTTCTGAGAATGCTTCTGTCTTGATTTTATATGAAGATATTCCCGTTTCCAACGAAACCTTCAAAGCTATCCAAATATCCACATGCAGATCCTACAAAAAGAGTGTTTCCAAAATGCTGTATCAAAACAAAGGTTCAACTCTGTTAGTTGAGAACACACATCGCAAATAAGTTTCTGAGAATGCTTCTGTCTAGTTTTTATTTGAAGATATTTCCTTTTTCACCACAGGCCTGAAAGCGCTTGAAACGTCCGCTTGCAGATACTACAGAAAGAGTGTTTCAATCCTACTCTATGAAAGGGAATGTTCAGTTTTGTGACTTGAATGCAAACATCACAAAGAAGTTCCTGAGAATGCTTCTCCCTAGATTTTATATGTAATCCCGTTTCCAACGAAATCCTCAAAGCTATCCAAATATCCACTTTCAGATTCCACAAAAAGAGTGTTTCGAAACTGCTCTGTAAAAAGAAAGGTTCATCTCTGTTAGTTGAATACACACATCACAAACAAGTTTCTGAGATAACTTCTGTCTAGTTTCTATGGGAAGATATTTCCTTTTTCAACATAGGCCTCAAAGCGCTCCAAATGTCCACTTCCAGGTAGTGCACAGAGTGTTTCAAACCTGCTCTATAATAGGGAACATTCTACTCTGTGACTTGAATGAAGACATCACAAATCAGTTTCTGAGAATGCTTCCGTCAAGATTTTATATGAAGATATTCCCGTTTCCAAGGAAATCTTCCTAGCTATCTAAATATCAACTTGCAGATTCTACTAAAGGAATGTTTCCAAAATGCCGTATCCACACAAAGGTTCAACTCTGTTAATTGAGGACATACAGCACAAAGAAGTTTCTGAGAATGCTTCTGTCTAGATTTTATATGAAGATATCCCGTTTCCAAAGAAATCCTCAAAGGTATCCAAATATCTACTTCCAGATTCCACAAAAAGACTGTTTCAAAACTGGTCTGTAAAAAGAAAGGTTCATCTCTGTTAGTTGAATACACACATCACAAACAAGTTTCTGAGAATGCTTCTGTCTAGTTTTTATGGGAAGATATTTCCTTTTTCATCATAGGCCTCAAAGCGCTCCAAATGTCCACTTCCAGATAGTGCAGAAAGAGTGTCTCAAACCTGGTATATAAAAGGGAACATTCTACTCTGTGACTTCAATGAAAACATCACAAAGCAGTTTCTGAGAATGCTTCCGTCTAGATTTTCTATGAAGATATTCCCGTTTCCAACGAAACCTTCAAAGCTATCCGAATATCCACCTGCAGATTCTACAAAAAGAGTGTTTCCAAAATGCCGTATCCAAACAAAGGTTCAACTCTGTTAGTTGAGGACACACATGGCAAATAAGTTTCTGAGAATGCTTCTGTCTAGTTTTTACTTGAAGATATTCCCTTTCTCACCATAGGCCTGAAAGCGCTTGAAACGTCCGCTTGCAGATACTACAGAAAGAGTGTTTCAAACATGCTCTATGAAAGGGAATGTTCAGTTCTGTGACTTGAATGCAAACATCACAAAGAAGTGCCTGAGAATGCTTCTCTCTAGATTTTATATGTAATCCCGTTTCCAACGAAATCCTCAAAGCTATCCAAATATCCACTTTCAGATTCCACAAAAAGAGTGTTTCAAAACTGCTCTGTAAAAAGAAAGGTTCATCTCTGTTAGTTGAATACACACATCACAAACAAGTTTCTGAGAATGCTTCTGTCTAGTTTTTATGGGAAGATATTTCCTTTTTCAACATAGGCCTCAAAGCGCTCCAAATGTCCACTTCCAGGTAGTGCAGAAAGAGTGTTTCAAACCTGCTCTATAAAAGGGAATATTCAACTCTGTGACTTGAATGCAAACATCACAAAGCACTTTTCTGAGAATGCTTCCGTCTAGATTTTATATGAAGATATTCCCGTTTCCAAGGAAATCTTCCTAGCTATCTAAATATCAACTTGCAGATTCTACTAAAGGAATGTTTCCAAAATGCTGTATCCACACAAAGGTTCAACTCTGTTAATTGAGGACATACAGCACAAAGAAGTTTCTGAGAATGCTTCTGTCTAGATTTTATATGAAGATATCCCGTGTCCAACGAAATCCTCAAAGGTATCAAAATATCCACTTGCAGATTCTACAAAAAGAGTGCTTCAAAACTGCTCTGTCAAAAGGAAGGTTCAACTCTGTTACTTGAGTACACACATCACAAGGAAGTTTCTGAGAATGCTTCTGTCTGGTTTTTATGAGAAGATATTTCCTTTTTCAACATAGGCCTCAAAGCGCTGCAAATGTCCACTTCCAAATATTACAAAAAGAGTGTTTCAAACCTGCTCTATGAAGGGAAGTGTTCACCTCTATGAGTTGAATGCAAACATCACAGAGAAGTTTCTGAGAATGCTTCTGTCTTGATTTTATATGAAGATATTCCCGTTTCCAACGAAACCTTCAAAGCTATCCAAATATCCACCTGCAGATCCTACAAAAAGAGTGTTTCCAAAATGCTGTATCAAAACAAAGGTTCAACTCTATTAGTTGAGAACACACATCGCAAATAAGTTTCTGAGAATGCCTCTGTCTAGTTTTTATTTGAAGATATTTCCTTTTTCACCACAGGCCTGAAAGCGCTTGAAACGTCCGCTTGCAGATACTACAGAAAGAGTGTTTCAAACCTGCTCTATGAAAGGGAACGTTCAGTTCTGTGACTTGAATGCAAACATCACAAAGAAGTTCCTGAGAATGCTTCTCCCTAGATTTTATATGTAATCCCGTTTCCAACGAAATCCTCAAAGCTATCCAAATATCCACTTTCAGATTCCACAAAAAGAGTGTTTCAAAACTGCTCTGTAAAAAGAAAGGTTCATCTCTGTTAGTTGAATACACACATCACAAACAAGTTTCTGAGAATGCTTCTGTCTAGTTTCTATGGGAAGATATTTCCTTTTTCAACATAGGCCTCAAAGCGCTCCAAATGTCCACTTCCAGGTAGTGCACAGAGTGTTTCTAACCTGCTCTATAAAAGGGAACATTCTACTCTGTGACTTGAATGCAAACATCACAAAGCAGTTTCTGAGAATGCTTCCGTCTAGATTGTATATGAAGATATTCCCGTTTCCAAGGAAATCTTCCTAGCTATCTAAATATCAACTTGCAGATTCTACTAAAGGAATGTTTCCAAAATGCTGTATCCACACAAAGGTTCAACTCTGTTAATTGAGGACATACAGCACAAAGAAGTTTCTGAGAATGCTTCTGTCTAGATTTTATATGAAGATATCCCGTTTCCAAAGAAATCCTCAAATGTATCCAAATATCTACTTCCAGATTCTACAAAAAGACTGTTTCAAAACGGCTCTGTCAAAAGGAAGGTTCAACTCTGTTACTTGAGTACACACATCACAAGGAAGTTTCTGAGAATGCTTCTGTCTGGTTTTTAGGAGAAGATATTTCCTTTTTCAACATAGGCCTCAAAGCGCTGCAAATGTCCACTTCCAAATATTACAAAAAGTGTGTTTCAAACCTGCTCTATGAAGGGAAGTGTTCAACTCTATGAGTTGAATGCAAACATCACAGAGAAGTTTCTGAGAATGCTTCTGTCTTGATTTTATATGAAGATATTCCCGTTTCCAACGAGACCTTCAAAGCTATCCAAATATCCACTTGCAGATTCTACAAAAAGAGTGTTTCCAAAATGTTGTATCAAAACAAAGGTTCAACTCTGTTAGTTGAGGACACACATCGCAAATAAGTTTCTGAGAATGCTTCTGTCTAGTTTTTATTTGAAGATATTTCCTTTCTTACCATAGGCCTGAAAGCGCTTGAAATGTCCGTTTGCAGATACTACAGAAAGAGTGTTTCAAACATGCTCTATGAAAGGGAATGTTCAGTTCTGTGACGTGAATGCAAACATCACAAAGAAGTTCCTGAGAATGCTTCTCTCTAGATTTTATATGTAATCCCGTTTCCAACGAAATCCTCAAAGCTATCCAAATATCCACTTTCAGATTCCACAAAAAGAGTGTTTCAAAACTGCTCTGTAAAAAGGAAGGTTCATCTCTGTTAGTTGAATACACACATCACAAACAAGTTTCTGAGAATGCTTCTGTCTAGTTTTTATGGGAAGATATTTCCTTTTTCATCATAGGCCTCAAAGCGCTCCTAATGTCCACTTCCAGATAGTGCAGAAAGAGTGTCTCAAACCTGGTATATAAAAGGGAACATTCTACTCTGTGACTTGAATGAAAACATCACAAAGCAGTTTCTGAGAATGCTTCCGTCTAGATTTTATATGAAGATATTCCCGTTTCCAACGAAACCTTCAAAGCTATGCGAATATCCACCTGCAGATTCTACAAAAAGAGTGTTTCCAAAATGCCGTATCAAAACAAAGGTTCAACTCTGTTAGTTGAGAACACACATGGCAAATAAGTTTCTGAGAATGCTTCTGTCTAGTTTTTACTTGAAGGTATTTCCTTTCTCACCATAGGCCTGAAAGCGCTTGAAACGTCCGCTTGCAGATACTACAGAAAGAGTGTTTCAAACATGCTCTATGAAAGGGAATGTTCAGTTCTGTGACTTGAATGCAAACATCACAAAGAAGTTCCTGGAATGCTTCTCTCTAGATCTTATATGTAATCCCGTTTCCAACGAAATCCTCAAAGCTATCCAAATATCCACTTTCAGATTCCACAAAAAGAGTGTTTCAAAACTGCTCTGTAAAAAGAAAGGTTCATCTCTGTTAGTTGAATACACACATCACAAACAAGTTTCTGAGAATGCTTCTGTCTAGTTTTTATGGGAAGATATTTCCTTTTTCAACATAGGCCTCAAAGCGCTCCAAATGTCCACTTCCAGATAGTGCAGAAAGAGTGTCTCAAACCTGGTATATAAAAGGGAACATTCTACTCTGTGACTTGAATGAAAACATCACAAAGCAGTTTCTGAGAATGCTTCCGTCTAGATTTTATATGAAGATATTCCCGTTTCCAACGAAACCTTCAAAGCTATCCGAATATCCACCTGCAGATTCTACAAAAAGAGTGTTTCCAAAATGCCGTATCAAAACAAAGGTTCAACTCTGTTAGTTGAGAACACACATGGCAAATAAGTTTCTGAGAATGCTTCTGTCTAGTTTTTACTTGAAGATATTTCCTTTCTCACCATAGGCCTGAAAGCGCTTGAAACGTCCGCTTGCAGATACTACAGAAAGAGTGTTTCAAACATGCTCTATGAAAGGGAATGTTCAGTTTTGTGTCTTGAATGCAAACATCACAAAGAAGTTCCTGAGAATGCTTCTCTCTAGATTTTATATGTAATCCCGTTTCCAACGAAATCCTCAAAGCTATCCACATATCCACTTTCAGATTCCACAAAAAGAGTGTTTCAAAACTGCTCTGTAAAAAGAAAGGTTCATCTCTGTTAGTTGAATACACACATCACAAACAAGTTTCTGAGCATGCTTCTGTCTAGTTTTTATGGGAAGATATTTCCTTTTTCAACATAGGCCTCAAAGCGCTCCTAATGTCCACTTCCAGGTAGTGCAGAAAGAGTGTTTCAAACATGCTCTATAAAAGGGAATATTCAACTCTGTGACTTGAATGCAAACATCACAAAGCACTTTCTGAGAATGCTTCCTTCTAGATTTTATATGAAGATATTCCCGTTTCCAAGGAAATCTTCCTAGCTATCTAAATATCAACATGCAGATTCTACTAAAGGAATGTTTCCAAAATGCTGTATCCACACAAAGGTTCAACTCTGTTAATTGAGGACATACAGCACAAAGAAGTTTCTGAGAATGCTTCTGTCTAGATTTTATATGAAGATATCCCGTTTCCAAAGAAATCCTCAAAGGTATCCAAATATCTACTTCCAGATTCTACAAAAAGACTGTTTCAAAACGGCTCTGTCAAAAGTAAGGTTCAACTGTGTTACTTGAGTACACACATCACAAGGAAGTTTCTGAGAATGCTTCTGTCTGGTTTTTAGGAGAAGATATTTCCTTTTTCAACATAGGCCTCAAAGAGCTGCAAATGTCCACTTCCAAATACTACAAAAAGAATGTTTCAAACCTGCTCTATGAAGGGAAGTGTTCAACTCTATGAGTTGAATGCAAACATCACAGAGAAGTTTCTGAGAATGCTTCTGTCTTGATTTTATATGAAGATATTCCCGTTTCCAACGAAACCTTCAAAGCTATCCAAATATCCACTTGCAGATTCTACAAAAAGAGTGTTTCCAAAATGTTGTATCAAAACAAAGGTTCAACTCTGTTAGTTGAGGACACACATCGCAAATAAGTTTCTGAGAATGCTTCTGTCTAGTTTTTATTTGAAGATATTTCCTTTCTTACCATAGGCCTGAAAGCGCTTGAAATGTCCGTTTGCAGATACTACAGAAAGAGTGTTTCAAACATGCTCTATGAAAGGGAATGTTCAGTTCTGTGACGTGAATGCAAACATCACAAAGAAGTTCCTGAGAATGCTTCTCTCTAGATTTTATATGTAATCCCGTTTCCAACGAAATCCTCAAAGCTATCCAAATATCCACTTTCAGATTCCACAAAAAGAGTGTTTCAAAACTGCTCTGTAAAAAGAAAGGTTCATCTCTGTTAGTTGAATACACACATCACAAACAAGTTTCTGAGAATGCTTCTGTCTAGTTTTTATGGGAAGATATTTCCTTTTTCATCATAGGCCTCAAAGCGCTCCAAATGTCCACTTCCAGATAGTGCAGAAAGAGTGTCTCAAACCTGGTATATAAAAGGGAACATTCTACTCTGTGACTTGAATGAAAACATCACAAAGCAGTTTCTGAGAATGCTTCCGTCTAGATTTTATATGAAGATATTCCCGTTTCCAACGAAACCTTCAAAGCTATCCGAATATCCACCTGCAGATTCTACAAAAAGAGTGTTTCCAAAATGCCGTATCAAAACAAAGGTTCAACTCTGTTAGTTGAGAACACACATGGCAAATAAGTTTCTGAGAATGCTTCTGTCTAGTTTTTACTTGAAGATATTTCCTTTCTCACCATAGGCCTGAAAGCGCTTGAAACGTCCGCTTGCAGATACTACAGAAAGAGTGTTTCAAACATGCTCTATGAAAGGGAATGTTCAGTTCTGTGACTTGAATGCAAACATCACAAAGAAGTTCCTGAGAATGCTTCTCTCTAGATTTTATATGTAATCCCGTTTCCAACGAAATCCTCAAAGCTATCCAAATATCCACTTTCAGATTCCACAAAAAGAGTGTTTCAAAACTGCTCTGTAAAAAGAAAGGTTCATCTCTGTTAGTTGAATACACACATCACAAACAAGTTTCTGAGAATGCTTCTGTCTAGTTTTTATGGGAAGATATTTCCTTCTTCAACATAGGCCTCAAAGCGCTCCAAATGTCCACTTCCAGGTAGTGCAGAAAGAGTGTTTCAAACCTGCTCTATAAAAGGGAATATTCAACTCTGTGACTTGAATGCAAACATCACAAAGCACTTTCTGAGAATGCTTCCGTCTAGATTTTATATGAAGATATTCCCGTTTCCAAGGAAATCTTCCTAGCTATCTAAATATCAACTTGCAGATTCTACTAAAGGAATGTTTCCAAAATGCCGTATCCACACAAAGGTTCAACTCTGTTAATTGAGGACATACAGCACAAAGAAGTTTCTGAGAATGCTTCTGTCTAGATTTTATATGAAGATATCCCGTTTCCAAAGAAATCCTCAAAGGTATCCAAATATCTACTTCCAGATTCCACAAAAAGACTGTTTCAAAACTGCTCTGTAAAAAGAAAGGTTCATCTCTGTTAGTTGAATACACACATCACAAACAAGTTTCTGAGAATGCTTCTGTCTAGTTTTTATGGGAAGATATTTCCTTTTTCATCATAGGCCTCAAAGCGCTCCAAATGTCCACTTCCAGATAGTGCAGAAAGAGTGTCTCAAACCTGGTATATAAAAGGGAACATTCTACTCTGTGACTTGAATGAAAACATCACAAAGCAGTTTCTGAGAATGCTTCCGTCTAGATTTTATATGAAGATATTCCCGTTTCCAACGAAACCTTCAAAGCTATCCGAATATCCACCTGCAGATTCTACAAAAAGAGTGTTTCCAAAATGCCGTATCAAAACAAAGGTTCAACTCTGTTAGTTGAGAACACACATGGCAAATAAGTTTCTGAGAATGCTTCTGTCTAGTTTTTACTTGAAGATATTTCCTTTCTCACCATAGGCCTGAAAGCGCTTGAAACGTCCGCTTGCAGATACTACAGAAAGAGTGTTTCAAACATGCTCTATGAAAGGGAATGTTCAGTTCTGTGACTTGAATGCAAACATCACAAAGAAGTTCCTGAGAATGCTTCTCTCTAGATTTTATATGTAATCCCGTTTCCAACGAAATCCTCAAAGCTATCCAAATATCCACTTTCAGATTCCACAAAAAGAGTGTTTCAAAACTGCTCTGTAAAAAGAAAGGTTCATCTCTGTTAGTTGAATACACACATCACAAACAAGTTTCTGAGAATGCTTCTGTCTAGTTTTTATGGGAAGATATTTCCTTTTTCAACATAGGCCTCAAAGCGCTCCAAATGTCCACTTCCAGGTAGTGCAGAAAGAGTGTTTCAAACCTGCTCTATAAAAGGGAATATTCAACTCTGTGACTTGAATGCAAACATCACAAAGCACTTTCTGAGAATGCTTCCGTCTAGATTTTATATGAAGATATTCCCATTTCCAAGGAAATCTTCCTAGCTATCTAAATATCAACTTGCAGATTCTACTAAAGGAATGTTTCCAAAATGCTGTATCCACACAAAGGTTCAACTCTGTTAATTGAGGACATACAGCACAAAGAAGTTTCTGAGAATGCTTCTGTCTAGATTTTATATGAAGATATCCCGTTTCCAAAGAAATCCTCAAAAGTATCCAAATATCTACTTCCAGATTCTACAAAAAGACTGTTTCAAAACGGCTCTGTCAAAAGTAAGGTTCAACTCTGTTACTTGAGTACACACATCACAAGGAAGTTTCTGAGAATGCTTCTGTCTGGTTTTTAGGAGAAGATATTTCCTTTTTCAACATAGGCCTCAAAGCGCTGCAAATGTCCACTTCCAAATATTACAAAAAGAGTGTTTCAAACCTGCTCTATGAAGGGAAGTGTTCAACTCTATGAGTTGAATGCAAACATCACAGAGAAGTTTCTGAGAATGTTTCTGTCTTGATTTTATATGAAGATATTCCCGTTTCCAACGAAACCTTCAAAGCTATCCAAATATCCACTTGCAGATTCTACAAAAAGAGTGTTTCCAAAATGTTGTATCAAAACAAAGGTTCAACTCTGTTAGTTGAGGGCACACATCGCAAATAAGTTTCTGAGAATGCTTCTGTCTAGTTTTTATTTGAAGATATTTCCTTTCTTACCATAGGCCTGAAAGCGCTTGAAATGTCCGTTTGCAGATACTACAGAAAGAGTGTTTCAAACATGCTCTATGAAAGGGAATGTTCAGTTCTGTGACGTGAATGCAAACATCACAAAGAAGTTCCTGAGAATGCTTCTCTCTAGATTTTATACGTAATCCCGTTTCCAACGAAATCCTCAAAGCTATCCAAATATCCACTTTCAGATTCCACAAAAAGAGTGTTTCAAAACTGCTCTGTAAAAAGAAAGGTTCATCTCTGTTAGTTGAATACACACATCACAAACAAGTTTCTGAGAATGCTTCTGTCTAGTTTTTATGGGAAGATATTTCCTTTTTCATCATAGGCCTCAAAGCGCTCCAAATGTCCACTTCCAGATAGTGCAGAAAGAGTGTCTCAAACCTGGTATATAAAAGGGAACATTCTACTCTGTGACTTGAATGAAAACATCACAAAGCAGTTTCTGAGAATGCTTCCGTCTAGATTTTATATGAAGATATTCCCGTTTCCAACGAAACCTTCAAAGCTATCCGAATATCCACCTGCAGATTCTACAAAAAGAGTGTTTCCAAAATGCCGTATCAAAACAAAGGTTCAACTCTGTTAGTTGAGAACACACATGGCAAATAAGTTTCTGAGAATGCTTCTGTCTAGTTTTTACTTGAAGGTATTTCCTTTCTCACCATAGGCCTGAAAGCGCTTGAAACGTCCGCTTGCAGATACTACAGAAAGAGTGTTTCAAACATGCTCTATGAAAGGGAATGTTCAGTTCTGTGACTTGAATGCAAACATCACAAAGAAGTTCCTGAGAATGCTTCTCTCTAGATTTTATATGTAATCCCGTTTCCAACGAAATCCTCAAAGCTATCCAAATATCCACTTTCAGATTCCACAAAAAGAGTGTTTCAAAACTGCTCTGTAAAAAGAAAGGTTCATCTCTGTTAGTTGAATACACACATCACAAACAAGTTTCTGAGAATGCTTCTGTCTAGTTTTTATGGGAAGATATTTCCTTTTCAAACATAGGCCTCAAAGCGCTCCAAATGTCCACTTCCAGGTAGTGCAGAAAGAGTGTTTCAAACCTGCTCTATAAAAGGGAATATTCAACTCTGTGACTTGAATGCAAACATCACAAAGCACTTTCTGAGAATGCTTCCGTCTAGATTTTATATGAAGATATTCCCATTTCCAAGGAAATCTTCCTAGCTATCTAAATATCAACTTGCATATCCTACTAAAGGAATGTTTCCAAAATGCTGTATCCACACAAAGGTTCAACTCTGTTAATTGAGGACATACAGCACAAAGAAGTTTCTGAGAATGCTTCTGTCTAGATTTTATATGAAGATATCCCGTTTCCAAAGAAATCCTCAAAGGTGTCCAAATATCTACTTCCAGATTCTACAAAAAGACTGTTTCAAAACGGCTCTGTCAAAAGTAAGGTTCAACTCTGTTACTTGAGTACACACATCACAAGGAAGTTTCTGAGAATGCTTCTGTCTGCTTTTTAGGAGAAGATATTTCCTTTTTCAACATAGGCCTCAAAGCGCTGCAAATGTCCACTTCCAAATATTACAAAAAGAGTGTTTCAAACCTGCTCTATGAAGGGAAGTGTTCAACTCTATGAGTTGAATGCAAACATCACAGAGAAGTTTCTGAGAATGCTTCTGTCTTGATTTTATATGAAGATATTCCCGTTTCCAACGAAACCTTCAAAGCTATCCAAATATCCACTTGCAGATTCTACAAAAAGAGTGTTTCCAAAATGTTGTATCAAAACAAAGGTTCAACTCTGTTAGTTGAGGACACACATCGCTAATAAGTTTCTGAGAATGCTTCTGTCTAGTTTTTATTTGAATATATTTCCTTTCTTACCATAGGCCTGAAAGCGCTTGAAATGTCCGTTTGCAGATACTACAGAAAGAGTGTTTCAAACATGCTCTATGAAAGGGAATGTTCAGTTCTGTGACGTGAATGCAAACATCACAAAGAAGTTCCTGAGAATGCTTCTCCCTAGATTTTATATGTAATACCGTTTCCAACGAAATCCTCAAAGCTATCCAAATATCCACTTTCAGATTCCACAAAAAGAGTGTTTCAAAACTGCTCTGTAAAAAGAAAGGTTCATCTCTGTTAGTTGAATACACACATCACAAACAAGTTTCTGAGAATGCTTCTGTCTAGTTTCTATGGGAAGATATTTCCTTTTTCAACATAGGCCTCAAAGCGCTCCAAATGTCCACTTCCAGGTAGTGCACAGAGTGTTTCAAACCTGCTCTATAAAAGGGAACATACTACTCTGTGACTTGAATGAAGACATCACAAAGCAGTTTCTGAGAATGCTTCCGTCTAGATTTTATATGAAGATATACCCTTTTCCAAGGAAATCTAATTAGCTATCTAAATATCAACTTGCAGATTCTACTAAAGGAATGTTTCCAAAATGCTGTATCCACACAAAGGTTCAACTCTGTTAATTGAGGACATACAGCACAAAGAAGTTCCTGAGAATGCTTCTGTCTAGATTTTATATGAAGATATCCCGTTTCCAAAGAAATCCTCAAAGGTATCCAAATATCTAGTTCCAGATTCTACAAAAAGACTGTTTCAAAACGGCTCTGTCAAAAGTAAAGTTCAACTCTGTTACTTGAGTACACACATCACAAGGAAGTTTCTGAGAATGCTTCTGTCTGGTTTTTAGGAGAAGATATTTCCTTTTTCAACATAGGCCTCAAAGCGCTGCAAATGTCCACTTCCAAATATTACAAAAAGAGTGTTTCAAACCTGCTGTATGAAAGGAAGTGTTCAACTCTATGAGTTGAATGCAAACATCACAGAGAAGTTTCTGAGAATGCTTCTGTCTTGATTTTATATGAAGATATTCCCGTTTCCAACGAAACCTTCAAAGCTATCCAAATATCCACTTGCAGATTCTACAAAAAGAGTGTTTCCAAAATGTTGTATCAAAAGAAAGGTTCAACTCTGTTAGTTGAGGACACACATCGCAAATAAGTTTCTGAGAATGCTTCTGTCTAGTTTTTATTTGAAGATATTTCCTTTTTCACCACAGGCCTGAAAGCGCTTGAAACGTCAGCTTGCAGATACTACAGAAAGAGTGTTTCAAACCTGCACTATGAAAGGGAATGTTCAGTTCTGTGACTTGAATGCAAACATCACAAAGAAGTTCCTGAGAATGCTTCTCCCTAGATTTTATATGTAATCCCGTTTCCAACGAAATCCTCAAAGCTATCCAAATATCCACTTTCAGATTCCACAAAAAGAGTGTTTCAAAACTACTCTGTAAAAAGAAAGGGTCATCTCTGTTAGTTGAATACACACATCACAAACAAGTTTCTGAGAATGCTTCTGTCTAGTTTCTATGGGAAGATATTTCCTTTTTCAACATAGGCATCAAAGCGCTCCAAATGTCCACTTCCAGGTAGTGCACAGAGTGTTTCAAACCTGCTCTATAAAAGGGAACATTCTACTCTGTGACTTGAATGAAGACATCACAAAGCAGTTTCTGAGAATGCTTCCGTCTAGATTTTATATGAAGATGTTCCCTTTTCCAAGGAAATCTTATTAGCTATCTAAATATCAACTTGCAGATTCTACTAAAGGAATGTTTCCAAAATGCTGTATCCACACAAAGGTTCAACTCTGTTAATTGAGGACATACAGCACAAAGAAGTTCCTGAGAATGCTTCTGTCTAGATTTTATATGAAGATATCCCGTTTCCAAAGAAATCCTCAAAAGTATCCAAATATCTACTTCCAGATTCTACAAAAAGACTGTTTCAAAACGGCTCTGTCAAAAGTAAGGTTCAACTCTGTTACTTGAGTACACACATCACAAGAAAGTTTCCGAGAATGCTTCTGTCTGGTTTTTAGGAGAAGATATTTCCTTTTTCAACATAGGCCTCAAAGCGCTGCAAATGTCCACTTCCAAATATTACAAAAAGAGTGTTTCAAACCTGCTGTATGAAGGGAAGTGTTCAACTCTATGAGTTGAATGCAAACATCACAGAGAAGTTTCTGAGAATGTTTCTGTCTTGATTTTATATGCAGATATTCCCGTTTCCAACGAAACCTTCAAAGCTATCCAAATATCCACTTGCAGATTCTACAAAAAGAGTGTTTCCAAAATGTTGTATCAAAACAAAGGTTCAACTCTGTTAGTTGAGGACACACATCGCAAATAAGTTTCTGAGAATGCTTCTGTCTAGTTTTTATTTGAAGATATTTCCTTTCTCACCATAGGCCTGAAAGCGTTTGAAATGTCCGTTTGCAGATACTACAGAAAGAGTGTTTCAAACATGCTCTATGAAAGGGAATGTTCAGTTCTGTGACGTGAATGCAAACATCACAAAGAAGTTCCTGAGAATGCTTCTCCCTAGATTTTATATGTAATCCCGTTTCCAACGAAATCCTCAAAGCTATCCAAATATCCACTTTCAGATTCCACAAAAAGAGTGTTTCAAAACTGCTCTGTAAAAAGAAAGGTTCATCTCTGTTAGTTGAATACACACATCACAAACAAGTTTCTGAGAATGATTCTGTCTAGTTTTTATGGGAAGATATTTCCTTTTTCATCATAGGCCTCAAAGCGCTCCAAATGTCCACTTCCAGGTAGTGCAGAAAGAGTGTCTCAAACCTGGTATATAACAGGGAACATTCTACTCTGTGACTTGAATGAAAACATCACAAAGCAGTTTCTGAGAATGCTTCCGTCCAGATTTTATATGAAGATATTCCCGTTTCCAACGAAACCTTCAAAGCTATCCAAATATCCACCTGCAGATCCTACAAAAAGAGTGTTTCCAAAATGCTGTATCAAAACAAAGGTTCAACTCTGTTAGTTGAGAACACACATCGCAAATAAGTTTCTGAGAATGCTTCTGTCTAGTTTTTATTTGAAGATATTTCCTTTCTCACCATAGGCCTGAAAGCGCTTGAAACGTCCGCTTGCAGATACTACAGAAAGAGTGTTTCAAACCTGCTCTATGAAACGGAATGTTCAGTTCTGTGACTTGAATGCAAACATCACAAAGAAGTTCCTGAGAATGCTTCTCCCTAGATTTTATATGTAATCCCGTTTCCAACGAAATCCTCAAAGCTATCCAAATATCCACTTTCAGATTCCACAAAAAGAGTGTTTCAAAACTGCTCTGTAAAAAGAAAGGTTCATCTCTGTTAGTTGAATACACACATCACAAACAAGTTTCTGAGAATGTTTCTGTCTAGTTTATATGGGAAGATATTTCCTTTTTCAACATAGGCCTCAAAGCGCTCCAAATGTCCACTTCCAGGTAGTGCACAGAGTGTTTCAAACCTGCTCTATGAAAGGTAGTGTTCAACTCTATGAGTTGAATGCAAACATCACAGAGAAGTTTCTGAGAATGCTTCTGTCTTGATTTTATATGAAGATATTCCCGTTTCCAACGAAACCTTCGAAGCTATCCAAATATCCACTTGCAGATTCTACAAAAAGAGTGTTTCCAAAATGTTGTATCCAAACAAAGGTTCAACACTGTTAGTTGAGAACACACATCGCAAATAAGTTTCTGAGAATGCTTCTGTCTAGTTTTTATTTGAAGATATTTCCTTTTTCACCACAGGCCTGAAAGCGCTTGAAACGTCAGCTTGCAGATACTACAGAAAGAGTGTTTCAAACCTGCTCTATGAAAGGGAATGTTCAGTTCTGTGACGTGAATGCAAACATCACAAAGAAGTTCCTGAGAATGCTTCTCCCTAGATTTTATATGTAATCCCGTTTCCAACGAAATCCTCAAAGCTATCCAAATATCCACTTTCAGATTCCACAAAAAGAGTGTTTCAAAACTGCTCTGTAAAAAGAAAGGTTCATCTCTGTTAGTTGAATACACACATCACAAACAAGTTTCTGAGAATGCTTCTGTCTAGTTTTTATGGGAAGATATTTCCTTTTTCAACATAAGCCTCAAAGCGCTCCAAATGTCCACTTCCAGATAGTGCACTGAGAGTTTCACACCTGCTCTATAAAAGGGAACATTCTACTCTGTGACTTGAATGAAGACATCACACAGCAGTTTCTGAGAATGCTTCCGTCTAGATTTTATGTGAAGATATTCCCGTTTCCAAGGAAATCTTCCTAGCTATCTAAATATCAACTTGCAGATTCTACTAAAGGAATGTTTCCAAAATGCTGTATCCACACAAAGGTTCAACTCTGTTAATTGAGGACATACAGCACAAAGAAGTTTCTGAGAATGCTTCTGTCTAGATTTTATATGAAGATATCCCGTGTCCAACGAAATCCTCAAAGGTATCAAAATATCCACTTGCAGATTCTACAAAAAGAGTGCTTCAAAACTGCTCTGTCAAAAGGAAGGTTCAACTCTGTTACTTGAGTACACACATCACAAGGAAGTTTCTGAGAATGCTTCTGTCTGGTTTTTAGGAGAAGATATATCCTTTTTCAACATAGGCCTCAAAGCGCTGCCAATGTCCACTTCCAAATATTACAAAAAGAGTGTTTCAAATCTGCTGTATGAAGGGAAGTGTTCAACTCTATGAGTTGAATGCAAATATCACAGAGAAGTTTCTGAGAATTCTTCTGTCTTGATTTTATATGAAGATATTCCCGTTAACAACGAAACCTTCAAAGCTATCCAAATATCCACTTGCAGATTCTACAAAAAGAGTGTTTCCAAAATGTTGTATCCAAACAAAGGTTCAACTCTGTTAGTTGAGAACACACATCACAAATAAGTTTCTGAGAGTGCTTCTGTCTAGTTTTTATTTGAAGATATTTCCTTTTTCACCACAGGCCTGAAAGCGCTTGAAACGTCAGCTTGCAGATACTACAGAAAGAGTGTTTCAAACCTGCACTATGAAAGGGAATGTTCAGTTCTGTGACTTGAATGCAAACATCACAAAGAAGTTCCTGAGAATGCTTCTCCCTAGATTTTATATGTAATCCCGTTTCCAACGAAATCCTCAAAGCTATCCAAATATCCAATTTCAGATTCCACAAAAAGAGTGTTTCAAAACTACTCTGTAAAAAGAAAGGTTCATCTCTGTTAGTTGAATAAACACATCACAAACAAGTTTCTGAGAATGCTTCTGTCTAGTTTCTATGGGAAGATATTTCCTTTTTCAACATAGGCTTCAAAGCGCTCCAAATGTCCACTTCCAGGTAGTGCACAGAGTGTTTCAAACCTGCTCTATAAAAGGGAACATTCTACTCTGTGACTTGAATGAAGACATCACAAAGCAGTTTCTGAGAATGCTTCCGTCTAGATTTTATATGAAGATATTCCCTTTTCCAAGGAAATCTTATTAGCTATCTAAATATCAACTTGCAGATTCTACTAAAGGAATGTTTCCAAAATGCTGTATCCACACAAAGGTTCAACTCTGTTAATTGAGGACATACAGCACAAAGAAGTTCCTGAGAATGCTTCTGTCTAGATTTTATATGAAGATATCCCGTTTCCAAAGAAATCCTCAAAGGTATCCAAATATCTAGTTCCAGATTCTACAAAAAGACTGTTTCAAAACGGCTCTGTCAAAAGTAAAGTTCAACTCTGTTACTTGAGTACACACATCACAAGGAAGTTTCTGAGAATGCTTCTGTCTGGTTTTTAGGAGAAGATATTTCGTTTTTCAACATAGGCCTCAAAGCGCTGCAAATGTCCACTTCCAAATATTACAAAAAGAGTGTTTCAAACCTACTGTATGAAAGGAAGTGTTCAACTCTATGAGTTGAATGCAAACATCACAGAGAAGTTTCTGAGAATGCTTCTGTCTTGATTTTATATGAAGATATTCCCGTTTCCAACGAAACCTTCAAAGCTATCCAAATATCCACTTGCAGATTCTACAAAAAGAGTGTTTCCAAAATGTTGTATCAAAAGAAAGGTTCAACTCTGTTAGTTGAGGACACACATCGCAAATAAGTTTCTGAGAATGCTTCTGTCTAGTTTTTATTTGAAGATATTTCCTTTTTCACCACAGGCCTGAAAGCGCTTCAAACGTCCGCTTGCAGATACTACAGAAAGAGGGTTTCAAACCTGCTCTATGAAAGGGAATGTTCAGTTCTGTGACTTGAATGCAAACATCACTAAGAAGTTCCTGAGAATGCTTCTCCCTAGATTTTATATGTAATCCCGTTTCCAACGAAATCCTCAAAGCTATCCAAATATCCACTTTCGGATTCCACAAAAAGAGTGTTTCAAAACTACTCTGTAAAAAGAAAGGTTCATCTCTGTTAGCTGAATACACACATCACAAACAAGTTTCTGAGAATGCTTCTGTCTAGTTTCTATGGGAAGATATTTCCTTTTTCAACATAGGCCTCAAAGCGCTCCAAATGTCCACTTCCAGGTAGTGCACAGAGTGTTTCAAACCTGCTCTATAAAAGGGAACATTCTACTCTGTGACTTGAATGAAGACATCACAAAGCAGTTTCTGAGAATGCTTCCGTCTAGATTTTATATGAAGATATTCCCGTATCCAAGGAAATCTTATTAGCTATCTAAATATCAACTTGCAGATTCTACTAAAGGAATGTTTCCAAAATGCTGTATCCACACAAAGGTTCAACTCTGTTAATTGAGGACATATAGCACAAAGAAGTTCCTGAGAATGCTTCTGTCTAGATTTTATTTGAAGATATCCCGTTTCCAAAGAAATCCTCAAAGGTATCCAAATATCTAGTTCCAGATTCTACAAAAAGACTGTTTCAAAACGGCTCTGTCAAAAGTAAAGTTCAACTCTGTTACTTGAGTACACACATCACGAGGAAGTTTCTGAGAATGCTTCTGTCTGGTTTTTAGGAGAAGATATTTCCTTTTTCAACATAGGCCTCAAAGCGCTGCAAATGTCCACTTCCAAATATTACAAAAAGAGTGTTTCAAACCTGCTGTATGAAAGGAAGTGTTCAACTCTATGAGTTGAATGCAAACATCACAGAGAAGTTTCTGAGAATGCTTCTGTCTTGATTTTATATGAAGATATTCCCGTTTCCAACGAAACCTTCAAAGCTATCCAAATATCCACTTGCAGATTCTACAAAAAGAGTGTTTCCAAAATGTTGTATCAAAACAAAGGTTCAACTCTGTTAGTTGAGGACACACATCGCAAATAAGTTTCTGAGAATGCTTCTGTCTAGTTTTTATTTGAAGATATTTCCTTTCTTACCGTAGGCCTGAAAGCGCTTGAAATGTCCGTTTGCAGATACTACAGAAAGAGTGTTTCAAACATGCTCTATGAAAGGGAATGTTCAGTTCTGTGACGTGAATGCAAACATCACAAAGAAGTTCCTGAGAATGCTTCTCTCTAGATTTTATATGTAATCCCGTTTCCAACGAAATCCTCAAAGCTATCCAAATATCCACTTTCGGATTCCACAAAAAGAGTGTTTCAAAACTACTCTGTAAAAAGAAAGGTTCATCTCTGTTAGTTGAATACACACATCACAAACAAGTTTCTGAGAATGCTTCTGTCTAGTTTTTATGGGAAGATATTTCCTTTTTCAACATAGGCCTCAAAGCGCTCCAAATGTCCACTTCCAGGTAGTGCACAGAGTGTTTCAAACCTGCTCTATGAAAGGAAGTGTTCAACTCTATGAGTTGAATGCAAACATCACAGAGAAGTTTCTGAGAATGCTTCTGTCTTGATTTTATATGAGGATATTCCCGTTTCCAACGAAACCTTCAAAGCTATCCAAATATCCACCTGCAGATCCTACAAAAAGTGTGTTTCCAAAATGCTGTATCAAAACAAAGGTTCAACTCTGTTAGTTGAGAACACACATCGCAAATTAGTTTCTGAGAATGCTTCTGTCTAGTTTTTATTTGAAGATATTTCCTTTTTCACCACAGGCCTGAAAGCGCTTGAAACTTCCGCTTGCAGATGCTACAGAAAGAGTGTTTCAAAGCTGCTCTATGAAAGGGAATGTTCAGTTCTGTGACTTGAATGCAAACATCACAAAGAAGTTCCTGAGAATGCTTCTACCTAGATTTTATATGTAATCCCGTTTCCAACGAAATCCTCAAAGCTATCCAAATATCCACTTTCAGATTCCACAAAAAGAGTGTTTCAAAACTGCTCTGTAAAAAGAAAGGTTCATCTCTGTTAGTTGAATACACACATCACAAACAAGTTTCTGAGAATGCTTCTGTCTAGTTTCTATGGGAAGATATTTCCTTTTTCAACATAGGCCTCAAAGCGCTCCAAATGTCCACTTCCAGGTAGTGCACTGAGTGTTTCAAACCTGCTCTATAAAAGGGAACATTCTACTCTGTGACTTGAATGAAGACATCACAAAGCAGTTTCTGAGAATGCTTCCGTCTAGATTTTATGTGAAGATATTCCCGTTTCCAAGGAAATCTTCCTAGCTATCTAAATATCAACTTGCAGATTCTACTAAAGGAGTGTTTCCAAAATGCTGTATCCACACAAAGGTTCAACTCTGTTAATTGAGGACATACAGCACAAAGAAGTTTCTGAGAATGCTTCTGTCTAGATTTTATATGAAGATATCCCGTTTCCAAAGAAATCCTCAAAGGTATCCAAATATCTACTTCCAAATTCTACAAAAAGACTGTTTCAAAACGGCTCTGTCAAAAGTAAGGTTCAACTCTGTTACTTGAGTACACACATCACAAGGAAGTTTCTGAGAATGCTTCTGTCTGGTTTTTAGGAGAAGATATTTCCTTTTTCTACATAGGCCTCAAAGCGCTGCAAATGTCCACTTCCAAATATTACAAAAAGAGTGTTTCAAACCTGCTGTATGAAGGGAAGTGTTCAACTCTATGAGTTGAATGCAAACAACACAGAGAAGTTTCTGAGAATGCTTCTGTCTTGATTTTATATAAAGATATTCCCGTTTCCAACGAAACCTTCAAAGCTATCCAAATATCCACCTGCAGATCCTACAAAAAGAGTGTTTCCAACATGCTGTATCAAAACAAAGGTTCAACTCTGTTAGCTGAGAACACACATCGCAAATAAGTTTCTGAGAATGCTTCTGTCTAGTTTTTATTTGAAGATATTTCCTTTTTCACCACAGGCCTGAAAGCGCTTGAAACGTCCGCTTGCAGATACTACAGAAAGAGTGTTTCAAACCTGCTCTATGAAAGGGAATGTTCAGTTCTGTGACTTGAATGCAAACATCACAAAGAAGTTCCTGAGAATGCTTCTCCCTAGATTTTATAAGTAATCCCGTTTCCAACGAAATCCTCAAAGCTATCCAAATATCCACTTTCAGATTCCACAAAAAGAGTGTTGCAAAACTGCTCTGTAAAAAGAAAGGTTCATCTCTGTTAGTTGAATACACACATCACAAACAAGTTTCTGAGAATGCTTCTGTCTAGTTTTTATGGGAAGATATTTCCTTTTTCAACATAGGCCTCAAAGCGCTCCAAACGTCCACTTCCAGGTAGTGCAGAAAGAGTGTCTCAAACCTGGTATATAACAGGGAACATTCTACTCTGTGACTTGAATGAAAACATCACAAAGCAGTTTCTGAGAATGCTTCCGTCTAGATTTTATATGAAGATATTCCCGTTTCCAACGAAACCTTCAAAGCTATCCGAATATCCACCTGCAGATTCTACAAAAAGAGTGTTTCCAAAATGCCGTATCAAAACAAAGGTTCAACTCTGTTAGTTGAGAACACACATGGCAAATAAGTTTCTGAGAATGCTTCTGTCTAGTTTTTACTTGAAGATATTTCCTTTCTCACCATAGGCCTGAAAGCGCTTGAAACGTCAGCTTGCAGATACTACAGAAAGAGTGTTTCAAACCTGCTCCATGAAAGGGAATGTTCAGTCCTGTGACTTGAAGGCCAACATCACAAAGAAGTTCCTGAGAATGCTTCTCTCTAGGTTTTATATGTAATCCCGTTTCCAACGAAATCCTCAAAGCTATCCAAATATCCACTTTCAGATTCCACAAAAAGAGTGTTTCAAAACTGCTCTGTAAAAAGAAAGGTTCATCTCTGTTAGTTGAATACACACATCACAAACAAGTTTCTGAGAATGCTTCTGTCTAGTTTTTATGGGAAGATATTTCCTTTTTCAACATAGGCCTCAAAGCGCTCCAAATGTCTACTTCCAGGTAGTGCAGAAAGAGTGTTTCAAACCTGCTCTATAAAAGGGAATATTCAACTCTGTGACTTGAATGCAAACATCACAAAGCACTTTCTGAGAATGCTTCCGTCTAGATTTTATATGAAGATATTCCCGTTTCCAAGGAAATCTTCCTAGCTATCTAAATATCAACTTGCAGATTCTACTAAAGGAATGTTTCCAAAATGCTGTATCCACACAAAGGTTCAACTCTGTTAATTGAGGACATACAGCACAAAGAAGTTTCTGAGAATGCTTCTGTCTAGATTTTATATGAAGATATCCCGTGTCCAACGAAATCCTCAAAGGTATCAAAATATCCACTTGCAGATTCTACAAAAAGAGTGCTTCAAAACTGCTCTGTCCAAAGGAAGGTTCAACTCTGTTACTTGAGTACACACATCACAAGGAAGTTTCTGAGAATGCTTCTGTCTGCTTTTTAGGAGAAGATATTTCCTTTTTCAACATAGGCCTCAAAGCGCTGGAAATGTCCACTTCCAAATATTAGAAAAAGAGTGTTTCAAACCTGCTGTATGAAGGGAAGTGTTCAACTCTATGAGTTGAATGCAAACATCACAGAGAAGTTTCTGAGAATGCTTCTGTCTTGATTTTATATGTAGATATTCCCGTTTCCAACGAAACCTTCAAAGCTATCCAAATATCCACTTACA
Source organism: Homo sapiens (assembly GCF_000001405.40). Taxonomy (NCBI): domain Eukaryota; kingdom Metazoa; phylum Chordata; class Mammalia; order Primates; family Hominidae; genus Homo; species Homo sapiens. The sequence continues at coordinate 60,611,473 of NC_000009.12, forward strand.
GATTCTACAAAAAGAGTGTTTCCGAAATGTTGTATCCAAACAAAGGTTCAACTCTTTTAGTTGAGAACACACATCGCAAATAAGTTTCTGAGAATGCTTCTGTCTAGTTTTTATTTGAAGATATTTCCTTTTTCACCACAGGCCTGAAAGAGCTTCAAACGTTCGCTTGCAAATACTACAGAAAGAGTGTTTCAAACCTGCTCTATGAAAGGGAATGTTCAGTTCTGTGACTTGAATGCAAACATCACAAAGAAGTTCCTGAGAATGCTTCTCCCTAGATTTTATATGTAATCCCGTTTCCAACGAAATCCTCAAAGCTATCCAAATATCCACTTTCGGATTCCACAAAAAGAGTGTTTCAAAACTACTCTGTAAAAAGAAAGGTTCATCTCTGTTAGTTGAATACACACATCACAAACAAGTTTCTGAGAATGCTTCTGTCTAGTTTTTATGGGAAGATATTTCCTTTTTCAACATAGGCCTCAAAGCGCTCCAAATGTCCACTTCCAGGTAGTGCAAAAAGAGTGTTTCAAACCTGCTCTATAAAAGGGAATATTCAACTCTGTGACTTGAATGCAAACATCACAAAGCACTTTCTGAGAATGCTTCCGGCTAGATTTTATATGAAGATATTCCCGTTTCCAAGGAAATCTTCCTAGCTATCTAAATATCAACTTGCAGATTCTACTAAAGGAATGTTTCCAAAATGCTGTATCGACACAAAGGTTCAACTCTGTTAATTGAGGACATACAGCACAAAGAAGTTTCTGAGAATGCTTCTGTCTAGATTTTATATGAAGATATCCCGTGTCCAACGAAATCCTCAAAGGTATCAAAATATCCACTTGCAGATTCTACAAAAAGAGTGCTTCAAAACTGCTCTGTCAAAATGAAGGTTCAACTCTGTTACTTGAGTACACACATCACAAGAAAGATTCTGAGAATGCTTCTGTCTGGTTTTTAGGAGAAGATATCTCCTTTTTCACCATAGGCTTCAAAGCGCTGCCGATGTCCACTTCCAAATATTACAAAAAGAGTATTTCAAACCAGCTCTATGAAAGGAAGTGTTCAACTCTATGAGTTGAATGCAAACATCACAGAGAAGTTTCTGAGAAGGCTTCTGTGTTGATTTTATATGAAGATATTCGCCTTTCCAACGAAATCTTCAAAGCTATCCAAATATCCACCTGCAGATCCTACAAAAAGAGTGTTTCCAAAATGCTGTATCAAAACAAAGGTTCAACTCTATTAGTTGAGAACACACATCGCAAATAAGTTTCTGAGAATGCCTCTGTCTAGTTTTTATTTGAAGATATTTCCTTTTTCACCACAGGCCTGAAAGCGCTTGAAACGTCCGCTTGCAGATACTACAGAAAGAGTGTTTCAAACCTGCTCTATGAAAGGGAACGTTCAGTTCTGTGACTTGAATGCAAACATCACAAAGAAGTTCCTGAGAATGCTTCTCCCTAGATTTTATATGTAATCCCGTTTCCAACGAAATCCTCAAAGCTATCCAAATATCCACTTTCAGATTCCACAAAAAGAGTGTTTCAAAACTGCTCTGTAAAAAGAAAGGTTCATCTCTGTTAGTTGAATACACACATCACAAACAAGTTTCTGAGAATGCTTCTGTCTAGTTTTTATGGGAAGATATTTCCTTTTTCAACATAGGCCTCAAAGCGCTGCAAATGTCCACTTCCAGGTAGTGTACAGAGTGTTTCAAACCTGCTCTATGAAAGGAAGTGTTCAACTCTATGAGTTGAATGCAAACATCACAGAGAAGTTTCTGAGAATGCTTCTGTCTTGATTTTATATGAAGATATTCCCGTTTCCAACGAAACCTTCAAAGCTATCCAAATATCCACTTGCAGATTCTACAAAAAGAGTGTTTCCGAAATGTTGTATCCAAACAAAGGTTCAACTCTTTTAGTTGAGAACACACATGGCAAATAAGTTTCTGAGAATGCTTCTGTCTAGTTTTTATTTGAAGATATTTCCTTTTTCACCACAGGCCTGAAAGCGCTTCAAACGTCCGCTTGCAGATACTACAGAAAGAGTGTTTCAAACCTGCTCTATGAAAGGGAATGTTCAGTTCTGTGACTTGAATGCAAACATCACAAAGAAGTTCCTGAGAATGCTTCTCCCTACATTTTATATGTAATCCCGTTTCCAACGAATTCCTCAAAGCTATCCAAATATCCACTTTCGGATTCCACAAAAAGAGTGTTTCAAAACTACTCTGTAAAAAGAAAGGTTCATCTCTGTTAGTTGAATACACACATCACAAACAAGTTTCTGAGAATGCTTCTGTCTAGTTTTTATGGGAAGATATTTCCTTTTTCATCATAGGCCTCAAAGCGCTGCAAATGTCCACTTCCAAATATTACAAAAAGAGTGTTTCAAACCTGCTGTATGAAGGGAAGTGTTCATCTCTATGAGTTGAATGCAAACATCACAGAGAAGCTTCTGAGAATGCTTCTGTCTTGATTTTATATGAAGATATTCCCGTTTCCAATGAAACCTTCAAAGCTATCCAAATATCCAATTGCAGATTCCACAAAAAGAGTGTTTCCAAAATGTTGTATCAAAAGAAAGGTTCAACTCTGTTAGTTGAGGATACACATCGCAAATAAGTTTCTGAGAATGCTTCTGTCTAGTTTTTATTTGAAGATATTTCCTTTCTCACCATAGGCCTGAAAGCGCTTGAAATGTCCGTTTGCAGATACTACAGAAAGAGTGTTTCAAACATGCTCTATGAAAGGGAATGTTCAGTTCTGTGACTTGAATGCAAACATCACAAAGAAGTTCCTGAGAATGCTTCTCCCTAGATTTTATATGTAATCCCGTTTCCAACGAAATCCTCAAAGCTATCCAAATATCCACTTTCAGATTCCACAAAAAGAGTGTTTCAAAACTGCTCTGTAAAAAGAAAGGTTCATCTCTGTTAGTTGAATACACACATCACAAACAAGTTTCTGAGAATGCTTCTGTCTAGTTTTTATGGGAAGATATTTCCTTTTTCATCATAGGCCTCAAAGCGCTCCAAATGTCCACTTCCAGATAGTGCAGAAAGAGTGTCTCAAACCTGGTATATAAAAGGGAACATTCTACTCTGTGACTTGAATGAAAACATCACAAAGCAGTTTCTGAGAATGCTTCCGTCTAGATTTTATATGAAGATATTCCCGTTTCCAACGAAACCTTCAAAGCTCTCCGAATATCCACCTGCAGATTCTACAAAAAGAGTGTTTCCAAAATGCCGTATCAAAACAAAGGTTCAACTCTGTTAGTTGAGAACACACATGGCAAATAAGTTTCTGAGAATGCTTCTGTCTAGTTTTTAGTTGAAGATAGTTCCTTTCTCACCATAGGCCTGAAAGCGCTTGAAACGTCCGCTTGCAGATACTACAGAAAGAGTGTTTCAAACATGCTCTATGAAAGGGAATGTTCAGTTTTGTGACTTGAATGCAAACATCACAAAGAAGTTCCTGAGAATGCTTCTCTCTAGATTTTATATGTAATCCCGTTTCCAACGAAATCCTCAAAGCTATCCACATATCCACTTTCAGATTCCACAAAAAGAGTGTTTCAAAACTGCTCTGTAAAAAGAAAGGTTCATCTCTGTTAGTTGAATACACACATCACAAACAAGTTTCTGAGAATGCTTCTGTCTAGTTTTTATGGGAAGATATTTCCTTTTTCAACATAGGCCTCAAAGCGCTCCAAATGTCCACTTCCAGGTAGTGCAGAAAGAGTGTTTCAAACATGCTCTATAAAAGGGAATATTCAACTCTGTGACTTGAATGCAAACATCACAAAGCACTTTCTGAGAATGCTTCCTTCCAGATTTTATATGAAGATATTCCCGTTTCCAAGGAAATCTTCCTAGCTATCTAAATATCAACTTGCAGATTCTACTAAAGGAATGTTTCCAAAATGCTGTATCCACACAAGGGTTCAACTCTGTTAATTGAGGACATACAGCACAAAGAAGTTTCTGAGAATGCTTCTGTCTAGATTTTTTATGAAGATATCCCGTTTCCAAAGAAATCCTCAAAGGTATCCATATATCTACTTCCAGATTCTACAAAAAGACTTTTTCAAAACGGCTCTGTCAAAAGTAAGGTTCAACTCTGTTACTTGAGTACACACATCACAAGGAAGTTTCTGAGAATGCTTCTGTCTGGTTTTTAGGAGAAGATATTTCCTTTTTCAACATAGGCCTCAAAGCGCTGCAAATGTCCACTTCCAAATATTACAAAAAGAGTGTTTCAAACCTGCTCTATGAAGGGAAGTGTTCAACTCTATGAGTTGAATGCAAACATCACAGAGAAGTTTCTGAGAATGCTTCTGTCTTGATTTTATATGAAGATATTCCCGTTTCCAACGAAACCTTCAAAGCTATCCAAATATCCACCTGCAGATCCTACAAAAAGAGTGTTTCCAAAATGCTGTATCAAAACAAAGGTTCAACTCTGTTAGTTGAGAAGACACATCGCAAATAAGTTTCTGAGAATGCTTCTGTCTAGTTTTTATTTGAAGATATTTCCTTTTTCACCACAGGCCTGAAAGCGCTTGAAACGTCCGCTTGCAGATACTACAGAAAGAGTGTTTCAAACCTGCTCTATGAAAGGGAATGTTCAGTTCTGTGACTTGAATGCAAACATCACAAAGAAGTTCCTGAGAATGCTTCTCCCTAGATTTTATATGTCATCCCGTTTCCAACGAAATCCTCAAAGCTATCCAAATATCCACTTTCAGATTCCACAAAAAGAGTGTTTCAAAACTGCACTGTAAAAAGAAAGGTTCATCTCTGTTAGTTGAATACACACATCACAAACAAGTTTCTGAGAATGCTTCTGTCTAGTTTCTATGGGAAGATATTTCCTTTTTCAACATAGGCCTCAAAGCGCTCCAAATGTCCACTTCCAGGTAGTGCACAGAGTGTTTCAAACCTGCTCTATAAAAGGGAACATTCTACTCTGTGACTTGATGGAAGACATCACAAAGCAGTTTCTGAGAATGCTTCCGTCTAGATTTTATATGAAGCTATTCCCGTTTCCAAGGAAATCTTCCTAGCTATCTAAATATCAACTTGCAGATTCTACTAACGGAATGTTTCCAAAATGCTGTATCCACACAAAGGTTCAACTCTGTTAATTGAGGACATACAGCACAAAGAAGTTTCTGAGAATGCTTCTGTCTAGATTTTATATGAAGATATCCGGTGTCCAACGAAATCCTCAAAGGTATCAAAATATCCACTTGCAGATTCTACAAAAAGAATGTTACAAAAATGCTCTGTCAAAAGGAAGGTTCAACTCTGTTACTTGAGTACACACATCACAAGGAAGTTTCTGAGAATGCTTCTGTCTGGTTTTTAGGAGAAGATATCTCCTTTTTCACCATAGGCCTCAAAGCGCTGCCAATGTCCACTTCCAAATATTACAAAAAGAGTGTTTCAAACCAGCTCCATGATAGGAAGTGTTCAACTCTATGAGTTGAATGCAAACATCACAGAGAAGTTTCTGAGAATGCTTCTGTCTTGATTTTATATGAAGATATTCCCGTTTCCAACGAAACCTTCAAAGCTATCCAAATATCCACCTGCAGATCCTGCAAAAGAGTGTTTCCAAAATGCTGTATCAAAACAAAGGTTCAACACTGTTATTTGAGAACACACATCGCAAATAAGTTTCTGAGAATTCTTCTGTCTACTTTTTATTTGAAGATATTTCCTTTTTCACCAGAGGCCTGAAAGCGCTTGAAACGTCCGCTTGCAGATACTACGGAAAGAGTGTTTCAAACCTGCTCTATGAAAGGGAATGTTCAGTTCTGTGACTTGAATGCAAACATCACAAAGAAATTCCTGAGAGTGCTTCTCCCTAGATTTTATATGTAATCCCGTTTCCAACGAAATCCTCAAAGCTATCAAATATCCACTTTCAGATTCCACAAAAAGAGTGTTTCAAAACTGCTCTGTAAAAAGAAAGGTTCATCTCTGTTAGTTGAATACACACATCACAAACAAGTTTCTGAGAATGCTTCTGTCTAGTTGTTATGGGAAGATATTTCCTTTTTCATCATAGGTCTCAAAGCGCTCCAAATGTCCACTTCCAGATAGTGCAGAAAGAGTGTCTCAAACCTGGTATATAAAAGGGAACATTCTACTCTGTGACTTGAATGAAAACATCACAAAGCAGTTTCTGAGAATGCTTCCGTCTAGATTTTATATGAAGTTATTCCCGTTTCCAACGAAACCTTCAAAGCTATCCGAATATGCACCCGCAGATTCTACAAAAAGAATGTTTCCAAAATGCCGTATCAAAACAAAGGTTCAACTCTGTTAGTTGAGAACACACATGGCAAATAAGTTTCTGAGAATGCTTCTGTCTAGTTTTTACTTGAAGATATTTCCTTTCTCACCATAGGCCTGAAAGCGCTTGAAACGTCCGCTTGCAGATACTACAGAAGGAGTGTTTCAAACATGCTCTATGAAAGGGAATGTTCAGTTCTGTGACTTGAATGCAAACATCACAAAGAAGTTCCTGAGAATGCTTCTCTCTAGATTTTATATGTAATCCCGTTTCCAACGAAATCCTCAAAGCTATCCAAATATCCACTTTCAGATTCCACAAAAAGAGTGCTTCAAAACTGCTCTGTAAAAAGAAAGGTTCATCTCTGTTAGTTGAATACACACATCACAAACAAGTTTCTGAGAATGCTTCTGTCTAGTTTTTATGGGAAGATATTTCCTTTTTCAACATAGGCCTCAAAGCGCTCCAAATGTCCACTTCCAGGTAGTGCAGAAAGAGTGTTTCAAACCTGCTCTATAAAAGGGAATATTCAACTCTGTGACTTGAATGCAAACATCACAAAGCACTTTCTGAGAATGCTTCCGTCTAGATTTTATATGAAGATATTCCCGTTTCCAAGGAAATCTTCCTAGCTATCTAAATATCAACTTGCAGATTCTACTAAAGGTATGTTTCCAAAATGCTGTATCCACACAAAGGTTCAACTCTGTTAATTGAGGACATACATCGCAAATAAGTTTCTGAGAATGCTTCTGTCTAGATTTTATATGAAGATATTCCGTTTTCACCACAGGCCTGAAAGCGCTTGAAACGTCCGATTGCAGATACTACAGAAAGAGTGTTTCAAACCTGCTCTATGAAAGGGAATGTTCAGTTCTGTGACTTGAATGCAAACATCACAAAGAAGTTCCTGAGAATGCTTCTCCCTAGATTTTATATGTCATCCCGTTTCCAACGAAATCCTCAAAGCTATCCAAATATCCACTTTCAGATTCCACAAAAAGAGTGTTTCGAAACTGCTCTGTAAAAAGAAAGGTTCATCTGTGTTAGTTGAATACACACATCACAAACAAGTTTCTGAGAATGCTTCTGTCTAGTTTCTATGGGAAGATATTTCCTTTTTCAACATAGGCCTCAAAGCGCTCCAAATGTCCACTTCCAGGTAGTGCACAGAGTGTTTCAAACCTGCTCTATAAAAGGGAACATTCTACTCTGTGACTTGATTGAAGACATCACAAAGCAGTTTCTGAGAATGCTTCCGTCTAGATTTTATATGAAGATATTCCCGTTCCCAAGGAAATCTTCCTAGCTATCTAAATATCAACTTGCAGATTCTACCAAAGGAATGTTTCCAAAATGCTGTATCCACACAAAGCTTCAACTCTGTTAATTGAGGACATACAGCACAAAGAAGTTTCTGAGAATGCTCCAGTCTAGATTTTTTATGAAGATATCCCGTTTCCAAAGAAATCCTCAAAGGTATCCAAATATCTACTTCCAGATTCTACAAAAAGACTTTTTCAAAACGGCTCTGTCAAAAGTAAGGTTCAACTCTGTTACTTGAGTACACACATCACAAGGAACTTTCTGAGAATGCTTCTGTCTGGTTTTTAGGAGAAGATATTTCCTTTTCCAACATAGGCCTCAAAGCGCTGCAAATGTCCACTTACAAATATTACAAAAAGAGTGTTTCAAACCTGCTCTGTGAAGGGAAGTGTTCAACTCTATGAGTTGAATGCAAACATCACAGAGAAGTTTCTGAGAATGCTTCTGTCTTGATTTTATATGAAGATATTCCCGTTTCCAACGAAACCTTCAAAGCTATCCAAATATCCACCTGCAGATCCTACAAAAAGAGTGTTTCCAAAATGCTGTATCAAAACAAAGGTTCAACTCTGTTAGTTGAGAACACACATCGCAAATAAGTTTCTGAGAATGCTTCTGTCTAGTTTTTATTTGAAGATATTTCCTTTCTCACCATAGGCCTGAAAGCGCTTGAAACGTCCGCTTGCAGATACTACAGAAAGAGTGTTTCAAACCTGCTCTATGAAACGGAATGTTCAGTTCTGTGACTTGAATGCAAACATCACAAAGAAGTTCCTGAGAATGCTTCTCCCTAGATTTTTTATGTAATCCCGTTTCCAACGAAATCCTCAAAGCTATCCAAATATCCACTTTCAGATTCCACAAAAAGAGTGTTTCAAAACTGCTCTGTAAAAAGAAAGCTTCATCTCTGTTAGTTGAATACACACATCACAAACAAGTTTCTGAGAATGCTTCTGTCTAGTTTTTATGGGAAGATATTTCCTTTTTCAACATAGGCCTCAAAGCGCTGTAAATGTCCACTTCCAAATATTACAAAAAGAGTGTTTCAAACCTGCTCTATGAAGGGAAGTGTTCAACTCTATGAGTTGAATGCAAACATCACTGAGAAGTTTCTGAGAATGCTTCTGTCTTGATTTTATATGAAGATATTCCCGTTTCCAACGAAACCTTCAAAGCTATCCAAATATCCACATGCAGATCCTACAAAAAGAGTGTTTCCAAAATGCTGTATCAAAACAAAGGTTCAACTCTGTTAGTTGAGAACACACATCGCAAATAAGTTTCTGAGAATGCTTCTGTCTAGTTTTTATTTGAAGATATTTCCTTTTTCACCACAGGCCTGAAAGCGCTTGAAACGTCCGCTTGCAGATACTACAGAAAGAGTGTTTCAAACCTGCTCTATGAAAGGGAATGTTCAGTTGTGTGACTTGAATGCAAACATCACAAAGAAGTTCCTGAGAATGCTTCTCCCTAGATTTTATATGTAATCCCGTTTCCAACGAAATCCTCAAAGCTATCCAAATATCCACTTTCAGATTCCACAAAAAGAGTGTTTCAAAACTGCTCTGTAAAAAGAAAGGTTCATCTCTGTTAGTTGAATACACACATCACAAACAAGTTTCTGAGAATGCTTCTGTCTAGTTTTTATGGGAAGATATTTCCTTTTTCAACATAGGCCTCAAAGCGCTCCAAATGTCCACTTCCAGGTAGTGCACAGAGTGTTTCAAACCTGCTCTATAAAAGGGAACATTCTACTCTGTGACTTGAATGAATACATCACAAAGCAGTTTCTGAGAATGCTTCCGTCTAGATTTTATATGAAGATATTCCCGTTTCCAAGGAAATCTTCCTAGCTATCTAAATATCAACATGCAGATTCTACTAAAGGAATGTTTCCAAAATGCTGTATCCACACAAAGGTTCAACTCTGTTAATTGAGGACATACAGCACAAAGAAGTTTCTGAGAATGCTTCTGTCTAGAATTTGTATGAAGATATCCCGTTTCCAAAGAAATCCTCAAAGGTATCCAAATATCTACTTCCAGATTCTACAAAAAGACTGTTTCAAAACGGCTCTGTCAAAAGTAAGGTTCAACTCTGTTACTTGAGTACACACATCACAAGGAAGTTTCTGAGAATGCTTCTGTCTGGTTTTTAGGAGAAGATATTTCCTGTTTCAACATAGGCCTCAAAGCGCTGCAAATGTCCACTTCCAAATATTACAAAAAGAGTGTTTCAAACCTGCTCTATGAAGGGAAGTGTTCAACTCTATGAGTTGAATGCAAACATCACAGAGAAGTTTCTGAGAATGCTTCTGTCTTGATTTTATATGAAGATATTCCCGTTTCCAACGAAACCTTCAAAGCTATCCAAATATCCACCTGCAGATTCTACAAAAAGAGTGTTTCCAAAATGTTGTATCAAAACAAAGGTTCAACTCTGTTAGTTGAGGACACACATCGCAAATAAGTTTCTGAGAATGCTTCTGTCTAGTTTTTATTTGAAGATATTTCCTTTCTCACCATAGGCCTGAAAGCGCTTGAAATGTCCGTTTGCAGATACTACAGAAAGAGTGTTTCAAACATGACTCTATGAAAGGGAATGTTCAGTTCTGTGACTTGAATGCAAACATCACAAAGAAGTTCCTGAGAATGCTTCTCCCTAGATTTTATATGTAATCCCGTTTCCAACGAAATCCTCAAAGCTATCCAAATATCCACTTTCAGATTCCACAAAAAGAGTGTTTCAAAACTGCTCTGTAAAAAGAAAGGTTCATCTCTGTTAGTTGAATACACACATCACAAACAAGTTTCTGAGAATGCTTCTGTCTAGTTTCTATGGGAAGATATTTCCTTTTTCAACATAGGCCTCAAAGCGCTCCAAATGTCCACTTCCAGGTAGTGCACAGAGTGTTTCAAACCTGCTCTATAAAAGGGAACATTCTACTCTGTGACTTGAATGAAGACATCACAAAGCAGTTTCTGGGAATGCTTCCGTCTAGATTGTATATGAAGATATTCCCGTTTCCAAGGAAATCTTCCTAGCTATCTAAATATCAACTTGCAGATTCTAGTAAAGGAATGTTTCCAAAATGCTGTATCCACACAAAGGTTCAACTCTGTTAATTGAGGACATACAGCACAAAGAAGTTTCTGAGAATGCTTCTGTCTAGATTTTATATGAAGATATCCCGTTTCCAAAGAAATCCTCAAAGGTATCCAAATATCTACTTCCAGATTCTACAAAAAGACTGTTTCAAAACGGCTCTGTCAAAAGTAAGGTTCAACTCTGTTACTTGAGTACACACATCACAAGGAAGTTTCTGAGAATGCTTCTGTCTTGTTTTTAGGAGAAGATATTTCCTTTTTCAACATAGGCCTCAAAGCGCTGCAAATGTCCACTTCCAAATATTACAAAAAGAGTGTTTCAAACCTGCTCTATGAAGGGAAGTGTTCAACTCTATGAGTTGAATGCAAACATCACAGAGAAGTTTCTGAGAATGCTTCTGTCTTGATTTTATATGAAGATATTCCCGTTTCCAACGAAACCTTCAAAGCTATCCAAATATCCACTTGCAGATTCTACAAAAAGAGTGTTTCCAAAATGTTGTATCAAAACAAAGGTTCAACTCTGTTAGTTGAGGACACACATCGCAAATAAGTTTCTGAGAATGCTTCTGTCTAGTTTTTATTTGAAGATATTTCCTTTCTTACCATAGGCCTGAAAGCGCTTGAAATGTCCGTTTGCAGATACTACAGAAAGAGTGTTTCAAACATGCTCTATGAAAGGGAATGTTCAGTTCTGTGACGTGAATGCAAACATCACAAAGAAGTTCCTGAGAATGCTTCTCTCTAGATTTTATATGTAATCCCGTTTCCAACGAAATCCTCAAAGCTATCCAAATATCCACTTTCAGATTCCACAAAAAGAGTGTTTCAAAACTGTTCTGTAAAAAGAAAGGTTCATCTCTGTTAGTTGAATACACACATCACAAACAAGTTTCTGAGAATGCTTCTGTCTAGTTTTTATGGGAAGATATTTCCTTTTTCATCATAGGCCTCAAAGCGCTCCAAATGTCCACTTCCAGATAGTGCAGAAAGAGTGTCTCAAACCTGGTATATAAAAGGGAACATTCTACTCTGTGACTTGAATGAAAACATCACAAAGCAGTTTCTGAGAATGCTTCCGTCTAGATTTTATATGAAGATATTCCCGTTTCCAACGAAACCTTCAAAGCTATCCGAATATCCACCTGCAGATTCTACAAAAAGAGTGTTTCCAAAATGCCGTATCAAAACAAAGGTTCAACTCTGTTAGTTGAGAACACACATGGCAAATAAGTTTCTGAGAATGCTTCTGTCTAGTTTTTACTTGAAGATATTTCCTTTCTCACCATAGGCCTGAAAGCGCTTGAAACGTCCGCTTGCAGATACTACAGAAAGAGTGTTTCAAACATGCTCTAAGAAAGGGAATGTTCAGTTCTGTGACTTGAATGCAAACATCACAAAGAAGTTCCTGAGAATGCTTCTCTCTAGATTTTATATGTAATCCCGTTTCCAACGAAATCCTCAAAGCTATCCAAATATCCACTTTCAGATTCCACAAAAAGAGTGTTTCAAAACTGCTCTGTAAAAAGAAAGGTTCATCTCTGTTAGTTGAATACACACATCACAAACAAGTTTCTGAGAATGCTTCTGTCTAGTTTTTATGGGAAGATATTCCCTTTTTCAACATAGGCCTCAAAGCGCTCCAAATGTCCACTTCCAGGTAGTGCAGAAAGAGTGTTTCAAACCTGCTCTATAAAAGGGAATATTCAACTCTGTGACTTGAATGCAAACATCACAAAGCACTTTCTGAGAATGCTTCCGTCTAGATTTTATATGAAGATATTCCCGTTTCCAAGGAAATCTTCCTAGCTATCTAAATATCAACTTGCAGATTCTACTAAAGGAATGTTTCCAAAATGCTGTATCCACACAAAGGTTCAACTCTGTTAATTGAGGAAATACAGCACAAAGAAGTTTCTGAGAATGCTTCTGTCTAGATTTTATATGAAGATATCCCGTTTCCAAAGAAATCCTCAAAGGTGTCCAAATATCTACTTCCAGATTCTACAAAAAGACTGTTTCAAAACGGCTCTGTCAAAAGTAAGGTTCAACTCTGTTACTTGAGTACACACATCACAAGGAAGTTTCTGAGAATGCTTCTGTCTGGTTTTTAGGAGAAGATATTTCCTTTTTCAACATAGGCCTCAAAGCGCTGCAAATGTCCACTTCCAAATATTACAAAAAGAGTGTTTCAAACCTGCTCTATGAAGGGAAGTGTTCAACTCTATGAGTTGAATGCAAACATCACAGAGAAGTTTCTGAGAATGCTTCTGTCTTGATTTTATATGAAGATATTCCCGTTTCCAACGAAACCTTCAAAGCTATCCAAATATCCACTTGCAGATTCTACAAAAAGAGTGTTTCCAAAATGTTGTATCAAAACAAAGGTTCAACTCTGTTAGTTGAGGACACACATCGCAAATAAGTTTCTGAGAATGCTTCTGTCTAGTTTTTATTTGAAGATATTTCCTTTCTTACCATAGGCCTGAAAGCGCTTGAAATGTCCGTTTGCAGATACTACAGAAAGAGTGTTTCAAACATGCTCTATGAAAGGGAATGTTCAGTTCTGTGACGTGAATGCAAACATCACAAAGAAGTTCCTGAGAATGCTTCTCTCTAGATTTTATATGTAATCCCGTTTCCAACGAAATCCTCAAAGCTATCCAAATATCCACTTTCAGATTCCACAAAAAGAGTGTTTCAAAACTGCTCTGTAAAAAGAAAGGTTCATCTCTGTTAGTTGAATACACACATCACAAACAAGTTTCTGAGAATGCTTCTGTCTAGTTTTTATGGGAAGATATTTCCTTTTTCATCATAGGCCTCAAAGCGCTCCAAATGTCCACTTCCAGATAGTGCAGAAAGAGTGTCTCAAACCTGGTATATAAAAGGGAACATTCTACTCTGTGACTTGAATGAAAACATCACAAAGCAGTTTCTGAGAATGCTTCCGTCTAGATTTTATATGAAGATATTCCCGTTTCCAACGAAACCTTCAAAGCTATCCGAATATCCACCTGCAGATTCTACAAAAAGAGTGTTTCCAAAATGCCGTATCAAAACAAAGGTTCAACTCTGTTAGTTGAGAACACACATGGCAAATAAGTTTCTGAGAATGCTTCTGTCTAGTTTTTACTTGAAGATATTTCCTTTCTCACCATAGGCCTGAAAGCGCTTGAAACGTCCGCTTGCAGATACTACAGAAAGAGTGTTTCAAACATGCTCTATGAAAGGGAATGTTCAGTTCTGTGACTTGAATGCAAACATCACAAAGAAGTTCCTGAGAATGCTTCTCTCTAGATTTTATATGTAATCCCGTTTCCAACGAAATCCTCAAAGCTATCCAAATATCCACTTTCAGATTCCACAAAAAGAGTGTTTCAAAACTGCTCTGTAAAAAGAAAGGTTCATCTCTGTTAGTTGAATACACACATCACAAACAAGTTTCTGAGAATGCTTCTGTCTAGTTTTTATGGGAAGATATTTCCTTTTTCAACATAGGCCTCAAAGCGCTCCAAATGTCCACTTCCAGGTAGTGCAGAAAGAGTGTTTCAAACCTGCTCTATAAAAGGGAATATTCAACTCTGTGACTTGAATGCAAACATCACAAAGCACTTTCTGAGAATGCTTCCGTCTAGATTTTATATGAAGATATTCCCGTTTCCAAGGAAATCTTCCTAGCTATCTAAATATCAACTTGCAGATTCTACTAAAGGAATGTTTCCAAAATGCTGTATCCACACAAAGGTTCAACTCTGTTAATTGAGGACATACAGCACAAAGAAGTTTCTGAGAATGCTTCTGTCTAGATTTTATATGAAGATATCCCGTTTCCAAAGAAATCCTCAAAAGTATCCAAATATCTACTTCCAGATTCTACAAAAAGACTGTTTCAAAACGGCTCTGTCAAAAGTAAGGTTCAACTCTGTTACTTGAGTACACACATCACAAGGAAGTTTCTGAGAATGCTTCTGTCTGGTTTTTAGGAGAAGATATTTCCTTTTTCAACATAGGCCTCAAAGCGCTGCAAATGTCCACTTCCAAATATTACAAAAAGAGTGTTTCAAACCTGCTCTATGAAGGGAAGTGTTCAACTCTATGAGTTGAATGCAAACATCACAGAGAAGTTTCTGAGAATGCTTCTGTCTTGATTTTATATGAAGATATTCCCGTTTCCAACGAAACCTTCAAAGCTATCCAAATATCCACTTGCAGATTCTACAAAAAGAGTGTTTCCAAAATGTTGTATCAAAACAAAGGTTCAACTCTGTTAGTTGAGGACACACATCGCAAATAAGTTTCTGAGAATGCTTCTGTCTAGTTTTTATTTGAAGATATTTCCTTTCTTACCATAGGCCTGAAAGCGCTTGAAATGTCCGTTTGCAGATACTACAGAAAGAGTGTTTCAAACATGCTCTATGAAAGGGAATGTTCAGTTCTGTGACGTGAATGCAAACATCACAAAGAAGTTCCTGAGAATGCTTCTCTCTAGATTTTATACGTAATCCCGTTTCCAACGAAATCCTCAAAGCTATCCAAATATCCACTTTCAGATTCCACAAAAAGAGTGTTTCAAAACTGCTCTGTAAAAAGAAAGGTTCATCTCTGTTAGTTGAATACACACATCACAAACAAGTTTCTGAGAATGCTTCTGTCTAGTTTTTATGGGAAGATATTTCCTTTTTCATCATAGGCCTCAAAGCGCTCCAAATGTCCACTTCCAGATAGTGCAGAAAGAGTGTCTCAAACCTGCTCTATAAAAGGGAATATTCTACTCTGTGACTTCAATGAAAACATCACAAAGCACTTTCTGAGAATGCTTCCGTCTAGATTTTATATGAAGATATTCCCGTTTCCAACGAAATCTTCCTAGCTATCTGAATATGCACCCGCAGATTCTACAAAAAGAATGTTTCCAAAATGCCGTATCAAAACAAAGGTTCAACTCTGTTAGTTGAGAACACACATGGCAAATAAGTTTCTGAGAATGCTTCTGTCTAGTTTTTACTTGAAGATATTTCCTTTCTCACCATAGGCCTGAAAGCGCTTGAAACGTCCGCTTGCAGATACTACAGAAAGAGTGTTTCAAACATGCTCTATGAAAGGGAATGTTCAGTTCTGTGACTTGAATGCAAACATCACAAAGAAGTGCCTGAGAATGCTTCTCTCTAGATTTTATATGTAATCCCGTTTCCAACGAAATCCTCAAAGCTATCCAAATATCCACTTTCAGATTCCACAAAAAGAGTGTTTCAAAACTGCTCTGTAAAAAGAAAGGTTCATCTCTGTTAGTTGAATACACACATCACAAACAAGTTTCTGAGAATGCTTCTGTCTAGTTTTTATGGGAAGATATTTCCTTTTTCAACATAGGCCTCAAAGCGCTCCAAATGTCCACTTCCAGGTAGTGCAGAAAGAGTGTTTCAAACCTGCTCTATAAAAGGGAATATTCAACTCTGTGACTTGAATGCAAACATCACAAAGCACTTTCTGAGAATGCTTCCGTCTAGATTTTATATGAAGATATTCCCGTTTCCAAGGAAATCTTCCTAGCTATCTAAATATCAACTTGCAGATTCTACTAAAGGAATGTTTCCAAAATGCCGTATCCACACAAAGGTTCAACTCTGTTAATTGAGGACATACAGCACAAAGAAGTTTCTGAGAATGCTTCTGTCTAGATTTTATATGAAGATATCCCGTTTCCAAAGAAATCCTCAAAGGTATCCAAATATCTACTTCCAGATTCTACAAAAAGACTGTTTCAAAACTGCTCTGTAAAAAGAAAGGTTCATCTCTGTTAGTTGAATACACACATCACAAACAAGTTTCTGAGAATGCTTCTGTCTAGTTTTTATGGGAAGATATTTCCTTTTTCATCATAGGCCTCAAAGCGCTCCAAATGTCCACTTCCAGATAGTGCAGAAAGAGTGTCTCAAACCTGGTATATAAAAGGGAACATTCTACTCTGTGACTTCAATGAAAACATCACAAAGCAGTTTCTGAGAATGCTTCCGTCTAGATTTTATATGAAGATATTCCCGTTTCCAACGAAACCTTCAAAGCTATCCGAATATCCACCTGCAGATTCTACAAAAAGAGTGTTTCCAAAATGCCGTATCAAAACAAAGGTTCAACTCTGTTAGTTGAGAACACACATCGCAAATAAGTTTCTGAGAATGCTTCTGTCTAGTTTTTATTTGAAGATATTTCCCTTTTCACCACAGGCCTGAAAGCGCTTGAAACGTCCGCTTTCAGATACTACAGAAAGAGTGTTTCAAACCTGCCCTATGAAAGGGAATGTTCAGTTCTGTGACTTGAATGCAAACATCACAAAGAAGTTCCTGAGAATGCTTCTCCCTAGATTTTATAAGTAATCCCGTTTCCAACGAAATCCTCAAAGCTATCCAAATATCCACTTTCAGATTCCACAAAAAGAGTGTTGCAAAACTGCTCTGTAAAAAGAAAGGTTCATCTCTGTTAGTTGAATACACACATCACAAACAAGTTTCTGAGAATGCTTCTGTCTAGTTTTTATGGGAAGATATTTCCTTTTTCAACATAGGCCTCAAAGCGCTCCAAATGTCCACTTCCAGGTAGTGCAGAAAGAGTGTTTCAAACCTGCTATATAACAGGGAATATTCTACTCTGTGACTTGAATGAAAACATCACAAAGCACTTTCTGAGAATGCTTCCGTCTAGATTTTATATGAAGATATTCCCGTTTCCAACGAAATCTTCCTAGCTATCTGAATATCCACTTGCAGATTCTACTAAAAGAATGTTTCCAAAATGCTGTATCAAAACAAAGGTTCAACTCTGTTAGTTGAGGACACACATCGCAAATAAGTTTCTGAGAATGCTTCTGTCTAGTTTTTATTTGAAGATATTTCCTTTCTCACCATAGGCCTGAAAGCGCTTGAAATGTCCGTTTGCAGATACTACAGAAAGAGTGTTTCAAACATGCTCTATGAAAGGGAATGTTCAGTTCTGTGACGTGAATGCAAACATCACAAAGAAGTTCCTGAGAATGCTTCTCTCTAGATTTTACATGTAATCCCGTTTCCAACGAAATCCTCAAAGCTATCCAAATATCCACTTTCAGATTCCACAAAAAGAGTGTTTCAAAACTGCTCTGTAAAAAGAAAGGTTCATCTCTGTTAGTTGAATACACACATCACAAACAAGTTTCTGAGAATGCTTCTGTCTAGTTTCTATGGGAAGATATTTCCTTTTTCAACATAGGCCTCAAAGCGCTCCAAATGTCCACTTCCAGGTAGTGCACAGAGTGTTTCAAACCTGCTCTATAAAAGGGAACATTCTACTCTGTGACTTGAATGAAGACATCACAAAGCATTTTCTCAGAATGCTTCCGTCTAGATTTTATATGAAGATATTCCCGTTTCCAAGGAAATCTTCCTAGCTATCTAAATATCAACATGCAGATTCTACTAAAGGAATGTTTCCAAAATGCTGTATCCACACAAAGGTTCAACTCTGTTAATTGAGGACATACAGCACAAAGAAGTTTCTGAGAATGCTTCTGTCTAGAATTTGTATGAAGATATCCCGTTTCCAAAGAAATCCTCAAAGGTATCCAAATATCTACTTCCAGATTCTACAAAAAGACTGTTTCAAAACGGCTCTGTCAAAAGTAAGGTTCAACTCTGTTACTTGAGTACACACATCACAAGGAAGTTTCTGAGAATGCTTCTGTCTGGTTTTTAGGAGAAGATATTTCCTTTTTCAACATAGGCCTCAAAGCGCTGCAAATGTCCACTTCCAAATATTACAAAAAGAGTGTTTCAAACCTGCTCTATGAAGGGAAGTGTTCAACTCTATGAGTTGAATGCAAACATCACAGAGAAGTTTCTGAGAATGCTTCTGTCTTGATTTTATATGAAGATATTCCCGTTTCCAAAGAAACCTTCAAAGCTATCCAAATATCCACCTGCAGATTCTACAAAAAGAGTGTTTCCAAAATGTTGTATCAAAACAAAGGTTCAAGTCTGTTAGTTGAGGACACACATCGCAAATAAGTTTCTGAGAATGCTTCTGTCTCGTTTTTATTTGAAGATATTTCCTTTCTCACCATAGGCCTGAAAGCGCTTGAAATGTCCGTTTGCAGATACTACAGAAAGAGTGTTTCAAACATGCTCTATGAAAGGGAATGTTCAGTTCTGTGACGTGAATGCAAACATCACAAAGAAGTTCCTGAGAATGCTTCTCTCTAGATTTTACATGTAATCCCGTTTCCAACGAAATCCTCAAAGCTCTCCAAATATCCACTTTCAGATTCCACAAAAAGAGTGTTTCAAAACTGCTCTGTAAAAAGAAAGGTTCATCTCTGTTAGTTGAATACACACATCACAAACAAGTTTCTGGGAATGCTTCTGTCTAGTTTCTATGGGAAGATATTTCCTTTTTCAACATAGGCCTCAAAGCGCTCCAAATGTCCACTTCCAGGTAGTGCACAGAGTGTTTCAAACCTGCTCTATAAAAGGGAACATTCTACTCTGTGACTTGAATGAAGACATCACAAAGCATTTTCTCAGAATGCTTCCGTCTAGATTTTATATGAAGATATTCCCGTTTCCAAGGAAATCTTCCTAGCTATCTAAATATCAACATGCAGAATCTACTAAAGGAATGTTTCCAAAATGCTGTATCCACACAAAGGTTCAACTCTGTTAATTGAGGACATACAGCACAAAGAAGTTTCTGAGAATGCTTCTGTCTAGAATTTGTATGAAGATATCCCGTTTCCAAATAAATCCTCAAAGGTATCCAAATATCTACTTCCAGATTCTACAAAAAGACTGTTTCAAAACGGCTCTGTCAAAAGTAAGGTTCAACTCTGTTACTTGAGTACACACATCACAAGGAAGTTTCTGAGAATGCTTCTGTCTGGTTTTTAGGAGAAGATATTTCCTGTTTCAACATAGGCCTCAAAGCGCTGCAAATGTCCACTTCCAAATATTACAAAAAGAGTGTTTCAAACCTGCTCTATGAAGGGAAGTGTTCAACTCTATGAGTTGAATGCAAACATCACAGAGAAGTTTCTGAGAATGCTTCTGTCTTGATTTTATATGAAGATATTCCCGTTTCCAACGAAACCTTCAAAGCTATCCAAATATCCACCTGCAGATCGTACAAAAAGAGTGTTTCCAAAATGCTGTATCAAAACAAAGGTTCAACTCTGTTACTTGAGTACACACATCACAAGGAAGTTTCTGAGAATGCTTCTGTCTGGTTTTTAGGAGAAGATATTTCCTTTTTCAACATAGGCCTCAAAGAGCTGCAAATGTCCACTTCCAAATATTACAAAAAGAGTGTTTCAAACCTGCTCTATGAAGGGAAGTGTTCAACTCTATGAGTTGAATGCAAACATCACAGAGAAGTTTCTGAGAATGCTTCTGTCTTGATTTTATATGAAGATATTCCCGTTTCCAACGAAACCTTCAAAGCTATCCAAATATCCACTTGCAGATTCTACAAAAAGAGTGTTTCCAAAATGTTGTATCAAAACAAAGGTTCAACTCTGTTAGTTGAGGACACACATCGCAAATAAGTTTCTGAGAATGCTTCTGTCTAGTTTTTATTTGAAGATATTTCCTTTCTTACCATAGGCCTGAAAGCGCTTGAAATGTCCGTTTGCAGATACTACAGAAAGAGTGTTTCAAACATGCTCTATGAAAGGGAATGTTCAGTTCTGTGACTTGAATGCAAACATCACAAAGAAGTTCCTGAAAATGCTTCTCTCTAAATTTTATATGAAATCCCGTTTCCAACGAAATCCTCAAAGCTATCCAAATATCCACTTTCAGATTCCACAAAAAGAGTGTTTCAAAACTGCTCTGTAAAAAGAAAGGTTCATCTCTGTTAGTTGAATACACACATCACAAACAAGTTTCTGAGAATGCTTCTGTCTAGTTTTTATGGGAAGATATTTCCTTTTTCAACATAGGCCTCAAAGCGCTGCAAATGTCCACTTCCAGGTAGTGCAGAAAGAAGTGTCTCAAACCTGCTCTATGAAAGGAAGTGTTCAACTCTATGAGTTGAATGCAAACATCACAGAGAAGTTTCTGAGAATGCTTCTGTCTTGATTTTATATGAAGATATTCCCGTTTCCAACGAAACCTTCAAAGCTATCCAAATATCCACTTGCAGATTCTACAAAAAGAGTGTTTCCGAAATGTTGTATCAAAACAAAGGTTCAATCTCTGTTAGTTGAATACACACATCACAAACAAGTTTCTGAGAATGCTTCTGTCTAGTTTTTATGGGAAGATATTTCCTTTTTCAACATAGGCCTCAAAGCGCTTCAAATGTCCACTTCCAGATACTACAGAAAGAGTGTTTCAAACCTGGTATATAAAAGGGAACATTCAACTCTGTGACTTGAATGAAAACATCACAAAGCAGTTTCTGAGAATGCTTCCGTCTAGATTTTATATGAAGATATTCCCGTTTCCAACGAAACCTTCAAAGCTATCCGAATATCCACCTGCAGATTCTACAAAAAGAGTGTTTCCAAAATGCCGTATCAAAACAAAGGTTCAACTCTGTTAGTTGAGAACACACATGGCAAATAAGTTTCTGAGAATGCTTCTGTCTAGTTTTTACTTGAAGATATTTCCTTTCTCACCATAGGCCTGAAAGCGCTTGAAACGTCCGCTTGCAGATACTACAGAAAGAGTGTTTCAAACATGCTCTATGAAAGGGAATGTTCAGTTCTGTGACTTGAATGCAAACATCACAAAGAAGTTCCTGAGAATGCTTCTCTCTAGATTTTATATGTAATCCCGTTTCCAACGAAATCCTCAAAGCTATCCAAATATCCACTTTCAGATTCCACAAAAAGAGTGTTTCAAAACTGCTCTGTAAAAAGAAAGGTTCATCTCTGTTAGTTGAATACACACATCACAAACAAGTTTCTGAGAATGCTTCTGTCTAGTTTTTATGGGAAGATATTTCCTTTTTCAACATAGGCCTCAAAGCGCTCCAAATGTCCACTTCCAGGTAGTGCAGAAAGAGTGTTTCAAACCTGCTCTATAAAAGGGAATATTCAACTCTGTGACTTGAATGCAAACATCACAAAGCACTTTCTGAGAATGCTTCCGTCTAGATTTTATATGAAGATATTCCCGTTTCCAAGGAAATCTTCCTAGCTATCTAAATATCCACTTGCAGATTCTACTAAAGGAATGTTTCCAAAATGCCGTATCAAAACAAAGGTTCAACTCTGTTAGTTGAGAACACACATGGCAAATAAGTTTCTGAGAATGCTTCTGTCTAGTTTTTACTTGAAGATATTTCCTTTCTCACCATAGGCCTGAAAGCGCTTGAAACGTCCGCTTGCAGATACTACAGAAAGAGTGTTTCAAACATGCTCTATGAAAGGGAATGTTCAGTTTTGTGACTTGAATGCAAACATCACAAAGAAGTTCCTGAGAATGCTTCTCTCTAGATTTTATATGTAATCCCGTTTCCAACGAAATCCTCAAAGCTATCCACATATCCACTTTCAGATTCCACAAAAAGAGTGTTTCAAAACTGCTCTGTAAAAAGAAAGGTTCATCTCTGTTAGTTGAATACACACATCACAAACAAGTTTCTGAGAATGCTTCTGTCTAGTTTTTATGGGAAGATATTTCCTTTTTCAACATAGGCCTCAAAGCGCTCCAAATGTCCACTTCCAGGTAGTGCAGAAAGAGTGTTTCAAACATGCTCTATAAAAGGGAATATTCAACTCTGTGACTTGAATGCAAACATCACAAAGCACTTTCTGAGAATGCTTCCTTCCAGATTTTATATGAAGATATTCCCGTTTCCAAGGAAATCTTCCTAGCTATCTAAATATCAACTTGCAGATTCTACTAAAGGAATGTTTCCAAAATGCTGTATCCACACAAAGGTTCAACTCTGTTAATTGAGGACATACAGCAGAAAGAAGTTTCTGAGAATGCTTCTGTCTATATTTTATATGAAGATATCCCGTTTCCAAAGAAATCCTCAAAGGTATCCAAATATCTACTTCCAGATTCTACAAAAAGACTGTTTCAAAACGGCTCTGTCAAAAGTAAGGTTCAACTCTGTTACTTGAGTACACACATCACAAGGAAGTTTCTGAGAATGCTTCTGTCTGGTTTTTAGGAGAAGATATTTCCTTTTTCAACATAGGCCTCAAAGAGCTGCAAATGTCCACTTCCAAATACTACAAAAAGAATGTTTCAAACCTGCTCTATGAAGGGAAGTGTTCAACTCTATGAGTTGAATGCAAACATCACAGAGAAGTTTCTGAGAATGCTTCTGTCTTGATTTTATATGAAGATATTCCCGTTTCCAACGAAACCTTCAAAGCTATCCAAATATCCACTTGCAGATTCTACAAAAAGAGTGTTTCCAAAATGTTGTATCAAAACAAAGGTTCAACTCTGTTAGTTGAGGACACACATCGCAAATAAGTTTCTGAGAATGCTTCTGTCTAGTTTTTATTTGAAGATATTTCCTTTCTTACCATAGGCCTGAAAGCGCTTGAAATGTCCGTTTGCAGATACTACAGAAAGAGTGTTTCAAACATGCTCTATGAAAGGGAATGTTCAGTTCTGTGACGTGAATGCAAACATCACAAAGAAGTTCCTGAGAATGCTTCTCTCTAGATTTTATATGTAATCCCGTTTCCAACGAAATCCTCAAAGCTATCCAAATATCCACTTTCAGATTCCACAAAAAGAGTGTTTCAAAACTGCTCTGTAAAAAGAAAGGTTCATCTCTGTTAGTTGAATACACACATCACAAACAAGTTTCTGAGAATGCTTCTGTCTAGTTTTTATGGGAAGATATTTCCTTTTTCATCATAGGCCTCAAAGCGCTCCAAATGTCCACTTCCAGATAGTGCAGAAAGAGTGTCTCAAACCTGGTATATAAAAGGGAACATTCTACTCTGTGACTTGAATAAAAACATCACAAAGCAGTTTCTGAGAATGCTTCCGTCTAGATTTTATATGAAGATATTCCCGTTTCCAACGAAACCTTCAAAGCTATCCGAATATCCACCTGCAGATTCTACAAAAAGAGTGTTTCCAAAATGCCGTATCAAAACAAAGGTTCAACTCTGTTAGTTGAGAACACACATGGCAAATAAGTTTCTGAGAATGCTTCTGTCTAGTTTTTACTTGAAGATATTTCCTTTCTCACCATAGGGCTGAAAGCGCTTGTAACGTCCGCTTGCAGATACTACAGAAGGAGTGTTTCAAACATGCTCTATGAAAGGGAATGTTCAGTTCTGTGACTTGAATGCAAACATCACAAAGAAGTTCCTGAGAATGCTTCTCTCTAGATTTTATATGTAATCCCGTTTCCAACGAAATCCTCAAAGCTATCCAAATATCCACTTTCAGATTCCACAAAAAGAGTGTTTCAAAACTGCTCTGTAAAAAGAAAGGTTCATCTCTGTTAGTTGAATACACACATCACAAACAAGTTTCTGAGAATGCTTCTGTCTAGTTTTAATGGGAAGATATTTCCTTTTTCAACATAGGCCTCAAAGCGCTCCAAATGTCCACTTCCAGGTAGTGCAGAAAGAGTGTTTCAAACCTGCTCTATAAAAGGGAATATTCAACTCTGTGACTTGAATGCAAACATCACAAAGCACTTTCTGAGAATGCTTCCGTCTAGATTTTATATGAAGATATTCCCGTTTCCAAGGAAATCTTCCTAGCTATCTAAATATCAACTTGCATATCCTACTAAAGGAATGTTTCCAAAATGCTGTATCCACACAAAGGTTCAACTCTGTTAATTGAGGACATACAGCACAAAGAAGTTTCTGAGAATGCTTCTGTCTAGATTTTATATGAAGATATCCCGTTTCCAAAGAAATCCTCAAAGGTATCCAAATATCTACTTCCAGATTCTACAAAAAGACTGTTTCAAAACGGCTCTGTCAAAAGTAAGGTTCAACTCTGTTACTTGAGTACACACATCACAAGGAAGTTTCTGAGAATGCTTCTGTTTGGTTTTTAGGAGAAGATATTTCCTTTTTCAACATAGGCCTCAAAGAGCTGCAAATGTCCACTTCCAAATATTACAAAAAGAGTGTTTCAAACCTGCTCTATGAAGGGAAGTGTTCAACTCTATGAGTTGAATGCAAACATCACAGAGAAGTTTCTGAGAATGCTTCTGTCTTGATTTTATATGAAGATATTCCCGTTTCCAACGAAACCTTCAAAGCTATCCAAATATCCACTTGCAGATTCTACAAAAAGAGTGTTTCCAAAATGTTGTATCAAAACAAAGGTTCAACTCTGTTAGTTGAGGACACACATCGCAAATAAGTTTCTGAGAATGCTTCTGTCTAGTTTTTATTTGAAGATATTTCCTTTCTTACCATAGGCCTGAAAGCGCTTGAAATGTCCGTTTGCAGATACTACAGAAAGAGTGTTTCAAACATGCTCTATGAAAGGGAATGTTCAGTTCTGTGACTTGAATGCAAACATCACAAAGAAGTTCCTGGAATGCTTCTCTCTAGATCTTATATGTAATCCCGTTTCCAACGAAATCCTCAAAGCTATCCAAATATCCACTTTCAGATTCCACAAAAAGAGTGTTTCAAAACTGCTCTGTAAAAAGAAAGGTTCATCTCTGTTAGTTGAGAACACACATGGCAAATAAGTTTCTGAGAATGCTTCTGTCTAGTTTTTACTTGAAGATATTTCCTTTCTCACCATAGGCCTGAAAGCGCTTGAAACGTCCGCTTGCAGATACTACAGAAAGAGTGTTTCAAACATGCTCTATGAAAGGGAATGTTCAGTTCTGTGACTTGAATGCAAACATCACAAAGAAGTTCCTGAGAATGCTTCTCTCTAGATTTTATATGTAATCCCGTTTCCAACGAAATCCTCAAAGCTATCCAAATATCCACTTTCAGATTCCACAAAAAGAGTGTTTCAAAACTGCTCTGTAAAAAGAAAGGTTCATCTCTGTTAGTTGAATACACACATCACAAACAAGTTTCTGAGAATGCTTCTGTCTAGTTTTTATGGGAAGATATTTCCTTTTTCAACATAGGCCTCAAAGCGCTCCAAATGTCCACTTCCAGGTAGTGCAGAAAGAGTGTTTCAAACCTGCTCTATAAAAGGGAATATTCAACTCTGTGACTTGAATGCAAACATCACAAAGCACTTTCTGAGAATGCTTCCGTCTAGATTTTATATGAAGATATTCCCATTTCCAAGGAAATCTTCCTAGCTATCTAAATATCAACTTGCAGATTCTACTAAAGGAATGTTTCCAAAATGCTGTATCCACACAAAGGTTCAACTCTGTTAATTGAGGACATACAGCACAAAGAAGTTTCTGAGAATGCTTCTGTCTAGATTTTATATGAAGATATCCCGTTTCCAAAGAAATCCTCAAAGGTATCCAAATATCTACTTCCAGATTCTACAAAAAGACTGTTTCAAAACGGCTCTGTCAAAAGTAAGGTTCAACTCTGTTACTTGAGTACACACATCACAAGGAAGTTTCTGAGAATGCTTCTGTCTGGTTTTTAGGAGAAGATATTTCCTTTTTCAACATAGGCCTCAAAGCGCTGCAAATGTCCACTTCCAAATATTACAAAAAGAGTGTTTCAAACCTGCTCTATGAAGGGAAGTGTTCAACTCTATGAGTTGAATGCAAACATCACAGAGAAGTTTCTGAGAATGCTTCTGTCTTGATTTTATATGAAGATATTCCCGTTTCCAACGAAACCTTCAAAGCTATCCAAATATCCACTTGCAGATTCTACAAAAAGAGTGTTTCCAAAATGTTGTATCAAAACAAAGGTTCAACTCTGTTAGTTGAGGACACACATCGCAAATAAGTTTCGGAGAATGCTTCTGTCTAGTTTTTATTTGAAGATATTTCCTTTCTTACCATAGGCCTGAAAGCGCTTGAAATGTCCGTTTGCAGATACTACAGAAAGAGTGTTTCAAACATGCTCTATGAAAGGGAATGTTCAGTTCTGTGACTTGAATGCAAACATCACAAAGAAGTTCCTGAGAATGCTTCTCTCTAGATCTTAAATGTAATCCCGTTTCCAACGAAATCCTCAAAGCTATCCAAATATCCACTTTCAGATTCCACAAAAAGAGTGTTTCAAAACTGCTCTGTAAAAAGAAAGGTTCATCTCTGTTAGTTGAATACACACATCACAAACAAGTTTCTGAGAATGCTTCTGTCTTGTTTTTATGGGAAGATATTTCCTTTTTCATCATAGGCCTCAAAGCGCTCCAAATGTCCACTTCCAGATAGTGCAGAAAGAGTGTCTCAAACCTGGTATATAAAAGGGAACATTCTACTCTGTGACTTGAATGAAAACATCACAAAGCAGTTTCTGAGAATGCTTCCGTCTAGATTTTATATGAAGTTATTCCCGTTTCCAACGAAACCTTCAAAGCTATCCGAATATCCACCTGCAGATTCTACAAAAAGAGTGTTTCCAAAATGCCGTATCAAAACAAAGGTTCAACTCTGTTAGTTGAGAACACACATGGCAAATAAGTTTCTGAGAATGCTTCTGTCTAGTTTTTACTTGAAGATATTTCCTTTCTCACCATAGGCCTGAAAGCGCTTGAAACGTCCGCTTGCAGATACTACAGAAAGAGTGTTTCAAACCTGCTCTATGAAAGGGAATGTTCAGTTCTGTGACTTGAATGCAAACATCACAAAGAAGTTCCTGAGAATGCTTCTCTCTAGATCTTATATGTAATCCCGTTTCCAACGAAATCCTCAAAGCTATCCAAATATCCACTTTCAGATTCCACAAAAAGAGTGTTTCAAAACTGCTCTGTAAAAAGAAAGGTTCATCTCTGTTAGTTGAATACACACATCACAAACAAGTTTCTGAGAATGCTTCTGTCTAGTTTTTATGGGAAGATATTTCCTTTTTCAACATAGGCCTCAAAGCGCTCCAAATGTCCACTTCCAGATAGTGCAGAAAGAGTGTCTCAAACCTGCTCTATAAAAGGGAATATTCAACTCTGTGACTTGAATGCAAACATCACAAAGCACTTTCTGAGAATGCTTCCGTCTAGATTTTATATGAAGATATTCCCGTTTCCAAGGAAATCTTCCTAGCTATCTAAATATCAACTTGCATATCCTACTAAAGGAGTGTTTCCAAAATGCTGTATCCACACAAAGGTTCAACTCTGTTAATTGAGGACATACAGCACAAAGAAGTTTCTGAGAATGCTTCTGTCTAGATTTTATATGAAGATATC
Source organism: Homo sapiens (assembly GCF_000001405.40). NCBI lineage: Eukaryota > Metazoa > Chordata > Mammalia > Primates > Hominidae > Homo > Homo sapiens. The sequence goes on from NC_000009.12 coordinate 60,639,493, forward strand.
CCGTTTCCAAAGAAATCCTCAAAGGTGTCCAAATATCTACTTCCAGATTCTACAAAAAGACTGTTTCAAAACGGCTCTGTCAAAAGTAAGGTTCAACTCTGTTACTTGAGTACACACATCACAAGGAAGTTTCTGAGAATGCTTCTGTCTGGTTTTTAGGAGAAGATATTTCCTTTTTCAACATAGGCCTCAAAGCGCTGCAAATGTCCACTTCCAAATATTACAAAAAGAGTGTTTCAAACCTGCTCTATGAAGGGAAGTGTTCACCTCTATGAGTTGAATGCAAACATCACAGAGAAGTTTCTGAGAATGCTTCTGTCTTGATTTTATATGAAGATATTCCCGTTTCCAACGAAACCTTCAAAGCTATCCAAATATCCACTTGCAGATTCTACAAAAAGAGTGTTTCCAAAATGTTGTATCAAAACAAAGGTTCAACTCTGTTAGTTGAGGACACACATCGCAAATAAGTTTCTGAGAATGCTTCTGTCTAGTTTTTATTTGAAGATATTTCCTTTCTTACCATAGGCCTGAAAGCGCTTGAAATGTCCGTTTGCAGATACTACAGAAAGAGTGTTTTAAACATGCTCTATGAAAGGGAATGTTCAGTTCTGTGACGTGAATGCAAACATCACAAAGAAGTTCCTGAGAATGCTTCTCTCTAGATTTTATATGTAATCCCGTTTCCAACGAAATCCTCAAAGCTATCCAAATATCCACTTTCAGATTCCACAAAAAGAGTGTTTCAAAACTGCTCTGTAAAAAGAAAGGTTCATCTCTGTTAGTTGAATACACACATCACAAACAAGTTTCTGAGAATGCTTCTGTCTAGTTTTTATGGGAAGATATTTCCTTTTTCATCATAGGCCTCAAAGCGCTCCAAATGTCCACTTCCAGATAGTGCAGAAAGAGTGTCTCAAACCTGGTGTATAAAAGGGAACATTCTACTCTGTGACTTGAATGAAAACATCACAAAGCAGTTTCTGAGAATGCTTCCGTCTAGATTTTCTATGAAGATATTCCCGTTTCCAACGAAACCTTCAAAGCTATCCGAATATCCACCTGCAGATTCTACAAAAAGAGTGTTTCCAAAATGCCGTATCCAAACAAAGGTTCAACTCTGTTAGTTGAGAACACACATGGCAAATAAGTTTCTGAGAATGCTTCTGTCTAGTTTTTACTTGAAGATATTTCCTTTCTCACCATAGGCCTGAAAGCGCTTGAAACGTCCGCTTGCAGATACTACAGAAAGAGTGTTTCAAACATGCTCTAAGAAAGGGAATGTTCAGTTCTGTGACTTGAATGCAAACATCACAAAGAAGTTCCTGAGAATGCTTCTCTCTAGATTTTATATGTAATCCCGTTTCCAACGAAATCCTCAAAGCTATCCAAATATCCACTTTCAGATTCCACAAAAAGAGTGTTTCAAAACTGCTCTGTAAAAAGAAAGGTTCATCTCTGTTAGTTGAATACACACATCACAAACAAGTTTCTGAGAATGCTTCTGTCTAGTTTTTATGGGAAGATATTTCCTTTTTCAACATAGGCCTCAAAGCGCTCCAAATGTCCACTTCCAGGTAGTGCAGAAAGAGTGTTTCAAACCTGCTCTATAAAAGGGAATATTCAACTCTGTGACTTGAATGCAAACATCACAAAGCACTTTCTGAGAATGCTTCCGTCTAGATTTTATATGAAGATATTCCCGTTTCCAAGGAAATCTTCCTAGCTATCTAAATATCAACTTGCAGATTATACTAAAGGAATGTTTCCAAAATGCTGTATCCACACAAAGGTTCAACTCTGTTAATTGAGGACATACAGCACAAAGAAGTTTCTGAGAATGCTTCTGTCTAGATTTTATATGAAGACATCCCGTTTCCAAAGAAATCCTCAAAGGTGTCCAAATATCTACTTCCAGATTCTACAAAAAGACTGTTTCAAAACGGCTCTGTCAAAAGTAAGGTTCAACTCTGTTACTTGAGTACACACATCACAAGGAAGTTTCTGAGAATGCTTCTGTCTGGTTTTTAGGAGAAGATATTTCCTTTTTCAACATAGGCCTCAAAGCGCTGCAAATGTCCACTTCCAAATATTACAAAAAGAGTGTTTCAAACCTGCTCTATGAAGGGAAGTGTTCAACTCTATGAGTTGAATGCAAACATCACAGAGAAGTTTCTGAGAATGCTTCTGTCTTGATTTTATATGAAGATATTCCCGTTTCCAACGAAACCTTCAAAGCTATCCAAATATCCACTTGCAGATTCTACAAAAAGAGTGTTTCCAAAATGTTGTATCAAAACAAAGGTTCAACTCTGTTAGTTGAGGACACACATCGCAAATAAGTTTCTGAGAATGCTTCTGTCTAGTTTTTATTTGAAGATATTTCCTTTCTTACCATAGGCCTGAAAGCGCTTGAAATGTCCGTTTGCAGATACTACAGAAAGAGTGTTTTAAACATGCTCTATGAAAGGGAATGTTCAGTTCTGTGACGTGAATGCAAACATCACAAAGAAGTTCCTGAGAATGCTTCTCTCTAGATTTTATATGTAATCCCGTTTCCAACGAAATCCTCAAAGCTATCCAAATATACACTTTCAAATTCCACAAAAAGAGTGTTTCAAAACTGCTCTGTAAAAAGAAAGGTTCATCTCTGTTAGTTGAATACACACATCACAAACAAGTTTCTGAGAATGCTTCTGTCTAGTTTTTATGGGAAGATATTTCCTTTTTCATCATAGGCCTCAAAGCGCTCCAAATGTCCACTTCCAGATAGTGCAGAAAGAGTGTCTCAAACCTGGTATATAAAAGGGAACATTCTACTCTGTGACTTGAATGAAAACATCACAAAGCAGTTTCTGAGAATGCTTCCGTCTAGATTTTATATGAAGATATTCCCGTTTCCAACGAAACCTTCAAAGCTATCCGAATATCCACCTGCAGATTCTACAAAAAGAGTGTTTCCAAAATGCCGAATCCAAACAAAGGTTCAACTCTGTTAGTTGAGAACACACATGGCAAATAAGTTTCTGAGAATGCTTCTGTCTAGTTTTTACTTGAAGATATTTCCTTTCTCACCATAGGCCTGAAAGCGCTTGAAACGTCCGCTTGCAAATACTAACAGAAAGAGTGTTTCAAACTGCTCTATAAAAGGGAATGTTCAGTTCTGTGACTTGAATGCAAACATCACAAAGAAGTTCCTGAGGAATGCTTCTCCCTAGATTTTATATGTAATCCCGTTTCCAACGAAATCCTCAAAGCTATCCAAATATCCACTTTCAGATTCCACAAAAAGAGTGTTTTAAAACTGCTCTGTAAAAAGAAAGGTTCATCTCTGTTAGTTGAATACACACATCACAAACAAGTTTCTGAGAATGCTTCTGTCTAGTTTTTATGGGAAGATATTTCCTTTTTCAACATAGGCCTCAAAGCGCTCCAAATGTCCACTTCCAGGTAGTGCACAGACTGTTTCAAACCTGCTCTATGAAAGGAAGTGTTCAACTCCATGAGTTGAATGCAAACATCACAGAGAAGTTTCTGAGAATGCTTCTGTCTTGATTTTATATGAAGATATTCCCGTTTCCAACGAAACCTTCTAAGCTATCCAAATATCCACCTGCAGATCCTACAAAAAGAGTGTTTCCAAAATGCTGTATCAAAACAAAGGTTCAACTCTGTTAGTTGAGAACACACATCGCAAATAAGTTTCTGAGAATGCTTCTGTCTAGTTTTTATTTGAAGATATTTCCTTTTTCACCACAGGCCTGAAAGCGCTTGAAACGTCCGCTTGCAGATACTACAGAAAGAGTGTTTCAAACCTGCTCTATGAAAGGGAATGTTCAGTTCTGTGACTTGAATGCAAACATCACAAAGAAGTTCCTGAGAATGCTTCTCCCTAGATTTTATATGTCATCCCGTTTCCAACGAAATCCTCAAAGCTATCCAAATATCCACTTTCAGATTCCACAAAAAGAGTGTTTCAAAACTGCTCTGTAAAAAGAAAGGTTCATCTCTGTTAGTTGAATACACACATCACAAACAAGTTTCTGAGAATGCTTCTGTCTAGTTTCTATGGGAAGATATTTCCTTTTTCAACATAGGCCTCAAAGCGCTCCAAATGTCCACTTCCAGGTAGTGCACAGAGTGTTTCAAACCTGCTCTATGAAAGGGAACGTTCTACTCTGTGACTTGAATGAAGACATCACAAAGCAGTTTCTGAGAATGCTTCTGTCTAGATTTTATATGAAGATATTCCCGTTTCCAATGAAATCCTCAAAGCAATGCAAATATCCACTGCAGATTCTACAAAAAGAGTGTTTCAAAACTGCTCTATCAAAAGAAAGGTTCAACTCTGTTAGTTGAGTACACACGTCACAAACAAGTTTCTGAGAATGCTTCTGCCTAGTTTTTATGTGAGGATATTTCGTTTTTCACCATAGGCGTCAAAGTGACCCAAATGTCAACTACCAGATACAACAAAAATAGTGTTTCAAAACTTCTCTATCAAAAGGAATGTTCATCTCTGTGAGGTGAATGCAAACATCACACAGTAGTTTCTGAGAATGCTTCTGTCTGGTTTTATGTGTAGATATTCCCGTTTCCAACGAAATCCTCAAAGGTATCCAAATATCCACTTGCAGATTCAACAAAAAGTGTGATTCAAAACTGCTCTATGAAAAGAAAAGTTCAACTCTGTGAGTTGAGTACACACATCACAAAGAAGTTTCTGAGAATTCTTCTGTCTAGTTTTTATGGGAGGATATTACCTTTTTCACCATGGGCCTCAAAGAGCTCCAAGTTTCCACTTACACATTCTACAAAAGGAGTGTTTCCAAACTGCTCTATGAAAAGGAATGTTCAACTCAGTGAGTTGAATGCAAGCATCACAAAGAAGTTTCTCAGAATGCTTCTGTCTAGTTTTTATGTGAAGGTATTCCCGTTTCAAATGAAATACTCAAAGCTGTCCTAATATCCACTTGTAAAGACTACAAGAAGAGAGTTTCAAAACTGCTATATCAAAGGAAAGGTTTAACTCTGTGAGTTGAGTACACACCTCACAAAGTAGTTTCTGAGAATGCTTCTGTCCACTTTTTATGTGAAGGTATTTTGTTTTTCAGCACAGGTCTCAAATCACTCCAAATGTCCACTTGCAGATTTCACAAAAAGAGTGTTTCAAAACTGCTCTATGAAAGGGAATGTTCAAGTCTGTGAGTTGAATGCAAACATCACAAAGAAGTTTCTGAGAATGCTTCTGTCTAATTTTTATGTGAAGATATTCCCGTTTCCAACGAAAGCCTCAAAGCTATCAAAATATCCACTTGCAGATTCCACAAAAAGTGTGTTTCAAACCTGCTGTATCAAAAGAAATGTTAAACTCTGTGAGTTGAGTACACACATCACAAAGAAGTTTCTGAGAATGCTTCTGTCTCGTTTTTATGTGAGGAAATTTTGTTTTTCACCATAGGCTTCAAAGCGCTCAAAATGTCCACTTCCAGATACTACAAAAGAGTGTTTCAAAACTTCTCTATGGAAAGGAATGTTCAACTCTGTGAGTTGAATGCAAATACCACAAAGTAGTTTCTGAGAATGCTACTGCCTGGTTTTTATGTAAAGAAAATCCCGTTTCCAATGAAATCCTCCAAGCTATCCACATATCCACTTGCAGTTTCTACAAAAAGTGTTTCAAAACTGCTCGATCAATAGAATAGTTCAACTCTGTGAGTTGAGTACACACATCACAAGGAAGTTTCTGAGAATTCTGTCTATTTTTTATGCGAAGATATTTCCTTTTTCACCATAGGCTTCTAAGTGAACCAAATATCCACTTACAGAATCTACAAAAAGAGTGTTTCAAAACTGCTCTATGAAAAGGAATGTTCAACTCTCTGAGTTGAATGCAAGCAACACGAAGAAGTTTCTCAGAATGCTTCTGTCTAGTTTTATGTGAAAATAATCCCGTTTCCAATGAAACCCTCAATGCTCTCCTAAAACCCACTTGTAAAATCTACAAGAACAGTGTTCCAAAACTGCTCTATCTAAAGAAAGCTTCAACTCTGAGTTCAGTACACACAACACAAGGAAGTTTCTGAGAATGCTTCTGTCTGGTTTTTATGGCAAGATATTCCTTTTTTCACCATAGGCCTCAAAGCGCTCCACGTTTCCACTTACAGATTCTACCAAAAGAGTTTCAAAACAGCTCTAAGAAAAGCAATGTTCAAAACAGTGAGTTGAATGCAAACATCCGAAAGAAGTATCTGACAATGCTTCTGTCTAGTTTCTATGTGAAGATATTCCCGTTTCCAACGAAATCCTCAAAGCTGTCCTAATATCCACTTATAAATACTACAAGTAGAGTGCTTCAAAACTACTGTATGAAACGAAAGGTTTAACTCTGAGAGTTGAGTACACACATCACAAAGTAGTTTCTGAGATGCTTCTGTCTACTTTTTGTGTGAAGTTATCTCCTTTTTCACCATAGGTCTCAAATCGCACCAAATGTCCACTTGCACATTCTTCAAAAAGAGTGTTTCAAATCTGTTCTATGAAAAGGAATGTTCAACTCTGTGAGTTGAATGCAAACATCACAAAGAAGTTTCTGAGAATGCTTCTGTCTAGCTTTTATGTGAAGATATTCCCGTTTCCAACGAAAGCCTCAAAGCTATCCAAATATCCACTTGAAGATTCCACAAAAAGAGTGATTCAAAACTGCTCTATCAAAAGAAAGGTTCAACTCTGTTAGTTGAGTACATACATGACAAACAAGTTTCTGAGAATGCTTCTGTCTAGTTTTTATGGGAAGATATTTCCCTTTTCACCATAGACCTCAAAGCACTCCAAATGTCCGGTTCCAGATAATACAAAAAGAGTTTTTCAAACCTGCTCTATGAATGGGAATGTTCAAATATGTGACTTGAATGCAAACATCATGAAGAAGTTTCTGAGAATGCTTCTGTCTATATTTTATACGAAGACATTCCCGTTTCCAACGAAATCCTCAAAGCTATCGAAATATCCACTGGCAAATTCTACAAAAGGAGTGTTTCAAAACTGCTATATCAATAGAAAGGTTCAACACTGTTTCTTGAGGAGATACAGCATAAACAAGTTTATGAGATTGCTTCTATCTCGTTTTCATGGGAAGATACTTCCTTTTTCACCATAGACCTCAAAGCACTCCAAATGTCCTCTTGCAGATACTACAAAAAGAGTGTTTCAAACCTGCTCTATGAAAGGGAATGTTCAACTCTGTGATTAGAATGCAAACATCACAAAGTAGTTTCTGAGAATTCTTCTGTCTGGTTTTTATATGAAGATATTCCCGTTTCCAATGAAATCCTGAAAGCTATCCAAATATACACTTGCAGATTCTACAAAAAGAGTGTTTCAAAAGTGCTCTATGAAAAGAAAGGTTCAACTCTGTTTGTTGAGTACACACATCACAAACATGATTCTGAGAATGCTTCTGTCTAGTTTTTATGAGAAGATATTTCCTTTTTCAACATAGGCCTCAAAGTGCTCCAAATGTCAACTTCCACATACTAAAAAAGACTGTTTCAAACCTCCTCTATGAAAGGGAATGTTCAATTCTGTGAGTTGAATACAAACATTACAAAGAAGTTTCTGAGAAGGCTTCTGTCTACTTTTTATATTGACATGCCCGTTTCGAAAGAAATCCTCAAAGCTATCCAAATATCCACTTGCAGGTTCTACAAAAAGACTGCTTTAAAACTGCTCTATCAAAACAAAGGTTCAACTCTGTTAGTTGGGTACATACATAACAAACAAGTTTCTGAGAATGATTCTTTCTAGTTTTTATGAGAAGATAGTTCCTTTTTCACCATAGTCCTCAAAGCGCTCCAGATGTCCACTTCCAGATACTATAAAAAGAGTGTGTCAAACCTGCTTTATGAAAGGCAATGTTCACCTCTGTGACTTGAATACAAACATTACAAAGAAGTTTCTGAGAATCCTTCTGTCTACTTTTTATATGGATATTCCCATTTGCAATGAAATCCTCAAAGCTATCCAAATACGCACTTGCAGATTCTACAAAAAGAGTGTTTCAAAACAGTTCTATCAAAAGAATGGTTCAACTCTCTTACTTGAGTACGCACATCACAATCAAGTTTTGAGAATGCTTCTGTCTAGTTTTAATGGGAAGATATTTGCTTTTTCACCATAGGCCTCAAATCACTCCAAATGTCCACTTCCAGATACTACAAAAAGAGAGTTTCAAACGTGCTCTAAGAAAGGGAATGTTCAGCTCTGTGATTTGAGTGCAAACATCACAAAGAAGTTTCTGAGAATGCTTCTGTCTAGATTTTATATGAAGATATCCCGTTTCCAAAGAAATCCTCAAAGGTATCCAAATATCTACTTCCAGATTCTACAAAAAGACTGTTTCAAAACGGCTCTGTCAAAAGGAAGGTTCAACTCTGTTACTTGAGTACACACATCACAAGGAAGTTTCTGAGAATGCTTCTGTCTGGTTTTTAGGAGAAGATATTACCTTTTTCAACATAGGCCTCAAAGCGCTGCAAATGCCCACTTCCAAATATTACAAAAAGAGTGTTTCAAACCTGCTCTATGAAGGGAAGTGTTCAAATCTATGAGTTGAATGCAAAAATCACAGAGAAGTTTCTGAGAATGCTTCTGTCTTGATTTTATATGAAGATATTCCCGTTTCCAACGAAACCTTCAAAGCTATCCAAATATCCACCTGCAGATTCTACAAAAAGAGTGTTTCCAAAATGTTGTATCAAAACAAAGGTTCAACTCTGTTAGTTGAGGACACACATCGCAAATAAGTTTCTGAGAATGCTTCTGTCTAGTTTTTATTTGAAGATATTTCCTTTCTCACCATAGGCCTGAAAGCGCTTGAAATGTCCGTTTGCAGATACTACAGAAAGAGTGTTTCAAACATGCTCTATGAAAGGGAATGTTCAGTTCTGTGACTTGAATGCAAACATCACAAAGAAGTTCCTGAGAATGCTTCTCTCTAGATTTTACATGTAATCCCGTTTCCAACGAAATCCTCAAAGCTATCCAAATATCCACTTTCAGATTCCACAAAAAGAGTGTTTCAAAACTGCTCTCTAAAAAGAAAGGTTCATCTCTGTTAGTTGAATACACACATCACAAACAAGTTTCTGAGAATGCTTCTGTCTAGTTTCTATGGGAAGATATTTCCTTTTTCAACATAGGCCTCAAAGCGCTCCAAATGTCCACTTCCAGGTAGTGCACAGAGTGTTTCAAACCTGCTCTATAAAAGGGAACATTCTACTCTGTGACTTGAATGAAGACATCACAAAGCAGTTTCTGAGAATGCTTCCGTCGAGATTTTATATGAAGATATTCCCGTTTCCAAGGAAATCTTCCTAGCTATCTAAATATCAACATGCAGATTCTACTAAAGGAATGTTTCCAAAATGCTGTATCCACACAAAGGTTCAACTCTGTTAATTGAGGACATACAGCACAAAGAAGTTTCTGAGAATGCTTCTGTCTAGATTTTATATGAAGATATCCCGTTTCCAAAGAAATCTTCAAAGGTATCCAAATATCTACTTCCAGATTCTACAAAAAGACTGTTTCAAAACGGCTCTGTCAAAAGTAAGGTTCAACTCTGTTACTTGAGTACACACATCACAAGGAAGTTCCTGAGAATGCTTCTGTCTGGTTTTTAGGAGAAGATATTTCCTTTTTCAACATAGGCCTCAAAGCGCTGCAAATGTCCACTTCCAAATATTACAAAAAGAGTGTTTCAAACCTGCTCTATGAAGGGAAGTGTTCAACTCTATGAGTTGAATGCAAACATCACAGAGAAGTTTCTGAGAATGCTTCTGTCTTGATTTTATATGAAGATATTCCCGTTTCCAACGAAACCTTCAAAGCTATCCAAATATCCACCTGCAGATTCTACAAAAAGAGTGTTTCCAACATGTTGTATCAAAACAAAGGTTCAAGTCTGTTAGTTGAGGACACACATCGCAAATAAGTTTCTGAGAATGCTTCTGTCTAGTTTTTATTTGAAGATATTTCCTTTCTCACCATAGGCCTGAAAGCGCTTGAAATGTCCGTTTGCAGATACTACAGAAAGAGTGTTTCAAACATGCTCTATGAAAGGGAATGTTCAGTTCTGTGACTTGAATGCAAACATCACAAAGAAGTTCCTGAGAATGCTTCTCCCTAGATTTCATATGTAATCCCGTTTCCAACGAAATCCTCAAAGTTATCCAAATATCCACTTTCAGATTCCACAAAAAGAGTGTTTCAAAACTGCTCTGTAAAAAGAAAGGTTCATCTCTGTTAGTTGAATACACACATCACAAACAAGTTTCTGAGAATGCTTCTGTCTAGTTTTTATGGGAAGATATTTCCTTTTTCACCATAGGCCACAAAGCGCTCCAAAAGTCATCTCAAGATACTACAAAAACAGTGTTTCAAACTTGCTCTCTGAAAGGGAATGTTCAACTCTCTGACTTGAAAGCAAACATCCAAAGATGTTTCTGAGAATGCTTCTCTCTAGATTTTATAAGAAGATATTCCCTTTTCCAAAGAAATCCTCAAAGATATCGAAATATCTACTTGCAGGTTCTTCAAAAAGAGTGTTTCAAAACTGCTCTATCAAAAGAAAGCTTCAAATCTGTTAGTTGAGTCCACACATCACAAACAAGTTTTTGAGAATGCTTCTGTCTAGTTTTTATGGGAAGATATTTCCCTTTTCACCATAGACCTCAAAGCACTCCAAATGTCCGGTTCCAGATAATACAAAAAGAGTTTTTCAAACCTGCTCTATGAATGGGAATGTTCAAATATGTGACTTGAATGCAAACATCATGAAGAAGTTTCTGAGAATGCTTCTGTCTATATTTTATACGAAGACATTCCCGTTTCCAACGAAATCCTCAAAGCTATCGAAATATCCACTGGCAAATTCTACAAAAGGAGTGTTTCAAAACTGCTATATCAATAGAAAGGTTCAACACTGTTTCTTGAGGAGATACAGCATAAACAAGTTTATGAGATTGCTTCTATCTCGTTTTCATGGGAAGATACTTCCTTTTTCACCATAGACCTCAAAGCACTCCAAATGTCCTCTTGCAGATACTACAAAAAGAGTGTTTCAAACCTGCTCTATGAAAGGGAATGTTCAACTCTGTGATTAGAATGCAAACATCACAAAGTAGTTTCTGAGAATTCTTCTGTCTGGTTTTTATATGAAGATATTCCCGTTTCCAATGAAATCCTGAAAGCTATCGAAATATCCACTGGCAAATTCTACAAAAGGAGTGTTTCAAAACTGCTATATCAATAGAAAGGTTCAACACTGTTTCTTGAGGAGATACAGCATAAACAAGTTTATGAGATTGCTTCTATCTCGTTTTCATGGGAAGATACTTCCTTTTTCACCATAGACCTCAAAGCACTCCAAATGTCCTCTTGCAGATACTACAAAAAGAGTGTTTCAAACCTGCTCTATGAAAGGGAATGTTCAACTCTGTGATTAGAATGCAAACATCACAAAGTAGTTTCTGAGAATTCTTCTGTCTGGTTTTTATATGAAGATATTCCCGTTTCCAATGAAATCCTGAAAGCTATCCAAATATACACTTGCAGATTCTACAAAAAGAGTGTTTCAAAAGTGCTCTATGAAAAGAAAGGTTCAACTCTGTTTGTTGAGTACACACATCACAAACATGATTCTGAGAATGCTTCTGTCTAGTTTTTATGAGAAGATATTTCCTTTTTCAACATAGGCCTCAAAGTGCTCCAAATGTCAACTTCCACATACTAAAAAAGACTGTTTCAAACCTCCTCTATGAAAGGGAATGTTCAATTCTGTGAGTTGAATACAAACATTACAAAGAAGTTTCTGAGAAGGCTTCTGTCTACTTTTTATATTGACATGCCCGTTTCGAAAGAAATCCTCAAAGCTATCCAAATATCCACTTGCAGGTTCTACAAAAAGACTGCTTTAAAACTGCTCTATCAAAACAGAGGTTCAACTCTGTTAGTTGGGTACATACATAACAAACAAGTTTCTGAGAATGATTCTTTCTAGTTTTTATGAGAAGATAGTTCCTTTTTCACCATAGTCCTCAAAGCGCTCCAGATGTCCACTTCCAGATACTATAAAAAGAGTGTGTCAAACCTGCTTTATGAAAGGCAATGTTCACCTCTGTGACTTGAATACAAACATTACAAAGAAGTTTCTGAGAATCCTTCTGTCTACTTTTTATATGGATATTCCCATTTGCAATGAAATCCTCAAAGCTATCCAAATACGCACTTGCAGATTCTACAAAAAGAGTGTTTCAAAACAGTTCTATCAAAAGAATGGTTCAACTCTCTTACTTGAGTACGCACATCACAATCAAGTTTTGAGAATGCTTCTGTCTAGTTTTAATGGGAAGATATTTGCTTTTTCACCATAGGCCTCAAATCACTCCAAATGTCCACTTCCAGATACTACAAAAAGAGAGTTTCAAACGTGCTCTAAGAAAGGGAATGTTCAGCTCTGTGATTTGAGTGCAAACATCACAAAGAAGTTTCTGAGAATGCTTCTGTCTAGATTTTATATGAAGATATCCCGTTTCCAAAGAAATCCTCAAAGGTATCCAAATATCTACTTCCAGATTCTACAAAAAGACTGTTTCAAAACGGCTCTGTCAAAAGGAAGGTTCAACTCTGTTACTTGAGTACACACATCACAAGGAAGTTTCTGAGAATGCTTCTGTCTAGTTTTTATGGGAAGATATTTCCTTTTTCATCATAGGCCTCAAAGCGCTCCAAATGTCCACTTCCAGATAGTGCAGAAAGAGTGTCTCAAACCTGGTATATAAAAGGGAACATTCTACTCTGTGACTTCAATGAAAACATCACAAAGCAGTTTCTGAGAATGCTTCCGTCTAGATTTTATATGAAGATATTCCCGTTTCCAACGAAACCTTCAAAGCTATCCGAATATCCACCTGCAGATTCTACAAAAAGAGTGTTTCCAAAATGCCGTATCAAAACAAAGGTTCAACTCTGTTAGTTGAGAACACACATGGCAAATAAGTTTCTGAGAATGCTTCTGTCTAGTTTTTACTTGAAGATATTTCCTTTCTCACCATAGGGCTGAAAGCGCTTGTAACGTCCGCTTGCAGATACTACAGAAGGAGTGTTTCAAACATGCTCTATGAAAGGGAATGTTCAGTTCTGTGACTTGAATGCAAACATCACAAAGAAGTTCCTGAGAATGCTTCTCTCTAGATTTTATATGTAATCCCGTTTCCAACGAAATCCTCAAAGCTATCCAAATATCCACTTTCAGATTCCACAAAAAGAGTGTTTCAAAACTGCTCTGTAAAAAGAAAGGTTCATCTCTGTTAGTTGAATACACACATCACAAACAAGTTTCTGAGAATGCTTCTGTCTAGTTTTTATGGGAAGATATTTCCTTTTTCAACATAGGCCTCAAAGCGCTCCAAATGTCCACTTCCAGGTAGTGCAGAAAGAGTGTTTCAAACCTGCTCTATAAAAGGGAATATTCAACTCTGTGACTTGAATGCAAACATCACAAAGCACTTTCTGAGAATGCTTCCGTCTAGATTTTATATGAAGATATTCCCGTTTCCAAGGAAATCTTCCTAGCTATCTAAATATCAACTTGCATATCCTACTAAAGGAATGTTTCCAAAATGCTGTATCCACACAAAGGTTCAACTCTGTTAATTGAGGACATACAGCACAAAGAAGTTTCTGAGAATGCTTCTGTCTAGATTTTATATGAAGATATCCCGTTTCCAAAGAAATCCTCAAAGGTATCCAAATATCTACTTCCAGATTCTACAAAAAGACTGTTTCAAAACGGCTCTGTCAAAAGGAAGGTTCAACTCTGTTACTTGAGTACACACATCACAAGGAAGTTTCTGAGAATGCTTCTGTCTGGTTTTTAGGAGAAGATATTTCCTTTTTCAACATAGGCCTCAAAGCGCTGCAAATGTCCACTTCCAAATATTACAAAAAGAGTGTTTCAAACCTGCTCTATGAAGGGAAGTGTTCAACTCTATGAGTTGAATGCAAACATCACAGAGAAGTTTCTGAGAATGCTTCTGTCTTGATTTTATATGAAGATATTCCCGTTTCCAACGAAACCTTCAAAGCTATCCAAATATCCACTTGCAGATTCTACAAAAAGAGTGTTTCCAAAATGTTGTATCAAAACAAAGGTTCAACTCTGTTAGTTGAGGACACACATCGCAAATAAGTTTCTGAGAATGCTTCTGTCTAGTTTTTATTTGAAGATATTTCCTTTCTTACCATAGGCCTGAAAGCGCTTGAAATGTCCGTTTGCAGATACTACAGAAAGAGTGTTTCAAACATGCTCTATGAAAGGGAATGTTCAGTTCTGTGACGTGAATGCAAACATCACAAAGAAGTTCCTGAGAATGCTTCTCTCTAGATTTTATATGTAATCCCGTTTCCAACGAAATCCTCAAAGCTATCCAAATATCCACTTTCAGATTCCACAAAAAGAGTGTTTCAAAACTGTTCTGTAAAAAGAAAGGTTCATCTCTGTTAGTTGAATACACACATCACAAAGAAGTTTCTGAGAATGCTTCTGTCTAGTTTTTATGGGAAGATATTTCCTTTTTCAACATAGGCCTCAAAGCGCTCCAAATGTCCACTTCCAGGTAGTGCACAGAGTGTTTCAAACCTGCTCTATGAAAGGTAGTGTTCAACTCTATGAGTTGAATGCAAACATCACAGAGAAGTTTCTGAGAATGCTTCTGTCTTGATTTTATATGAAGATATTCCCGTTTCCAACGAAACCTTCGAAGCTATCCAAATATCCACTTGCAGATTCTACAAAAAGAGTGTTTCCAAAATGTTGTATCCAAACAAAGGTTCAACACTGTTAGTTGAGAACACACATCGCAAATAAGTTTCTGAGAATGCTTCTGTCTAGTTTTTATTTGAAGATATTTCCTTTTTCACCACAGGCCTGAAAGCGCTTGAAACGTCAGCTTGCAGATACTACAGAAAGAGTGTTTCAAACCTGCTCTATGAAAGGGAATGTTCAGTTCTGTGACGTGAATGCAAACATCACAAAGAAGTTCCTGAGAATGCTTCTCCCTAGATTTTATATGTAATCCCGTTTCCAACGAAATCCTCAAAGCTATCCAAATATCCACTTTCAGATTCCACAAAAAGAGTGTTTCAAAACTGCTCTGTAAAAAGAAAGGTTCATCTCTGTTAGTTGAATACACACATCACAAACAAGTTTCTGAGAATGCTTCTGTCTAGTTTCTATGGGAAGATATTTCCTTTTTCAACATAGGCGTCAAAGCGCTCCAAATGTCCACTTCCAGGTAGTGCACTGAGTGTTTCAAACCTGCTCTATAAAAGGGAACATTCTAGTCTGTGACTTGAATGAAGACATCACAAAGCAGTTTCTGAGAATGCTTCCGTCTAGATTTTATGTGAAGATATTCCCGTTTCCAAGGAAATCTTCCTAGCTATCTAAATATCAACTTGCAGATTCTACTAAAGGAATGTTTCCAAAATGCTGTATCCACACAAAGGTTCAACTCTGTTAATTGAGGACATACAGCACAAAGAAGTTTCTGAGAATGCTTCTGTCTAGATTTTATATGAAGATATCCCGTGTCCAACGAAATCCTCAAAGGTATCAAAATATCCACTTGTAGATTCTACAAAAAGAGTGCTTCAAAACTGCTCTGTCAAAATGAAGGTTCAACTCCGTTACTTGAGTACACACATCACAAGAAAGATTCTGAGAATGCTTCTGTCTGGTTTTTAGGGGAAGATATCTCCTTTTTCACCATAGGCTTCAAAGCGCTGCAAATGTCCACTTCCAAATATTACAAAAAGAGTATTTCAAACCAGCTCTATGAAAGGAAGTGTTCAACTCTATGAGTTGAATGCAAACATCACAGAGAAGTTTCTGAGAATGCTTCTGTGTTGATTTTATATGAAGATATTCCCGTTTCCAACGAAACCTTCAAATCTATCCAAATATCCACCTGCAGATCCTACAAAAAGAGTGTTTCCAAAATGCTGTATCAAAACAAAGGTTCAACTCTGTTAGTTGAGAACACACATCGCAAATAAGTTTCTGAGAATGCTTCTGTCTAGTTTTTATTTTAAGATATTTCCCTTTTCACCACAGGCCTGAAAGCGCTTGAAACGTCCGCTTTCAGATACTACAGAAAGAGTGTTTCAAACCTGCTCTATGAAAGGGAATGTTCAGTTCTGTGACTTCAATGCAAACATCACAAAGAAGTTCCTGAGAATGCTTCTCCCTAGATTTTATATGTAATCCCGTTTCCAACGAAATCCTCAAAGCTATCCAAATATCCACTTTCAGATTCCACAAAAAGAGTGTTTCAAAACTGCTCTGTAAAAAGAAAGGTTCATCTCTGTTAGTTGAATACACACATCACAAACAAGTTTCTGAGAATGCTTCTGTCTAGTTTTTATGGGAAGATATTTCCTTTTTCAACATACGCCTCAAAGCGCTCCAAATGTCCACTTCCAGGTAGTGCACAGAGTGTTTCAAACCTGCTCTATGAAAGGAAGTGTTCAACTCTATGAGTTGAATGCAAGCATCACAGAGAAGTTTCTGAGAAGGCTTCTGTGTTGATTTTATATGAAGATATTCGCCTTTCCAACGAAATCTTCAAAGCTATCCAAATATCCACCTTCAGATCCTACAAAAAGAGTGTTTCCAAAATGCTGTATCAAAACAAAGGTTCAACTCTATTAGTTGAGAACACACATCGCAAATAAGTTTCTGAGAATGCCTCTGTCTAGTTTTTATTTGAAGATATTTCCTTTTTCACCACAGGCCTGAAAGCGCTTGAAACGTCCGCTTGCAGATACTACAGAAAGAGTGTTTCAAACCTGCTCTATGAAAGGGAATGTTCAGTTCTGTGACTTGAATGCAAACATCACAAAGAAGTTCCTGAGAATGCTTCTCCCTAGATTTTATATGTAATCCCGTTTCCAACGAAATCCTCAAAGCTATCCAAATATCCACTTTCAGATTCCACAAAAAGAGTGTTTCAAAACTGCTCTGTAAAAAGAAAGGTTCATCTCTGTTAGTTGAATACACACATCACAAACAAGTTTCTGAGAATGCTTCTGTCTAGTTTTTATGGGAAGATATTTCCTTTTTCAACATAGGCCTGAAAGCGCTGCAAATGTCCACTTCCAGGTAGTGTACAGAGTGTTTCAAACCTGCTCTATGAAAGGAAGTGTTCAACTCTATGAGTTGAATGCAAACATCACAGAGAAGTTTCTGAGAATGCTTCTGTCTTGAGTTTATATGGGGATATTCCCGTTTCCAACGAAACCTTCAAAGCTATCCAAATATCCACTTGCAGATTCTACAAAAAGAGTGTTTCCGAAATGTTGTATCCAAACAAAGGTTCAACTCTTTTAGTTGAGAACACACATGGCAAATAAGTTTCTGAGAATGCTTCTGTCTAGTTTTTATTTGAAGATATTTCCTTTTTCACCACAGGCCTGAAAGCGCTTCAAACGTCCGCTTGCAGATACTACAGAAAGAGTGTTTCAAACCTGCTCTATGAAAGGGAATGTTCAGTTCTGTGACTTGAATGCAAACATCACAAAGAAGTTCCTGAGAATGCTTCTCCCTACATTTTATATGTAATCCCGTTTCCAACGAATTCCTCAAAGCTATCCAAATATCCACTTTCGGATTCCACAAAAAGAGTGTTTCAAAACTACTCTGTAAAAAGAAAGGTTCATCTCTGTTAGTTGAATACACACATCACAAACAAGTTTCTGAGAATGCTTCTGTCTAGTTTTTATGGGAAGATATTTCCTTTTTCATCATACGCCTCAAAGCGCTGCAAATGTCCACTTCCAAATATTACAAAAAGAGTGTTTCAAACCTGCTGTATGAAGGGAAGTGTTCATCTCTATGAGTTGAATGCAAACATCACAGAGAAGCTTCTGAGAATGCTTCTGTCTTGATTTTATATGAAGATATTCCCGTTTCCAATGAAACCTTCAAAGCTATCCAAATATCCAATTGCAGATTCCACAAAAAGAGTGTTTCCAAAATGTTGTATCAAAAGAAAGGTTCAACTCTGTTAGTTGAGGATACACATCGCAAATAAGTTTCTGAGAATGCTTCTGTCTAGTTTTTATTTGAAGATATTTCCTTTCTCACCATAGGCCTGAAAGCGTTTGAAATGTCCGTTTGCAGATACTACAGAAAGAGTGTTTCAAACATGCTCTATGAAAGGGAATGTTCAGTTCTGTGACGTGAATGCAAACATCACAAAGAAGTTCCTGAGAATGCTTCTCCCTAGATTTTATATGTAATCCCGTTTCCAACGAATTCCTCAAAGCTATCCAAATATCCACTTTAAGATTCCACAAAAAGAGTGCTTCAAAACTACTCTGTAAAAAGAAAGGTTCATCTCTGTTAGTTGAATACACACATCACAAACAAGTTTCTGAGAATGCTTCCGTCTAGATTTTATATGAAGATATTCC
The DNA here is from genome assembly GCF_000001405.40 of Homo sapiens. NCBI lineage: Eukaryota > Metazoa > Chordata > Mammalia > Primates > Hominidae > Homo > Homo sapiens. The sequence continues at coordinate 60,658,030 of NC_000009.12, forward strand.
CGTTTCCAACGAAACCTTCAAAGCTATCCGAATATCCACCTGCAGATTCTACAAAAAGAGTGTTTCCAAAATGCCGTATCAAAACAAAGGTTCAACTGTGTTAGTTGAGAACACACATGGCAAATAAGTTTCTGAGAATGCTTCTGTCTAGATTTTATATGAAGATATCCCGTGTCCAACGAAATCCTCAAAGGTATCAAAATATCCACTTGCAGATTCTACAAAAAGAGTGCTTCAAAACTGCTCTGTCAAAATGAAGGTTCAACTCTGTTACTTGAGTACACACATCACAAGAAAGATTCTGAGAATGCTTCTGTCTGGTTTTTAGGAGAAGATATCTCCTTTTTCACCATAGGCTTCAAAGCGCTGCCAATGTCCACTTCCAAATATTACAAAAAGAGTATTTCAAACCAGCTCTATGAAAGGAAGTGTTCAACTCTATGAGTTGAATGCAAGCATCACAGAGAAGTTTCTGAGAATGCTTCCGTCTAGATTTTATGTGAAGATATTCCCGTTTCCAAGGAAATCTTCCTAGCTATCTAAATATCAACTTGCAGATTCTACTAAAGGAGTGTTTCCAAAGTGCTGTATCCGGACAAAGGTTCAACTATGTTAATTGAGGACATACAGCACAAAGAAGTTTCTGAGAATGCTTCTGTCTAGATTTTATATGAAGATATCCCGTTTCCAAAGAAATCCTCAAAGCTATCCAAATATCTACATCCAGATTCTACAAAAAGACTGTTTCAAAACGGCTCTGTCAAAAGTAAGGTTCAACTCTGTTACTTGAGTACACACATCACAAGGAAGTTTCTGAGAATTCTTCTGTCTGGTTTTTAGGAGAAGATATTTCCTTTTTCAACATAGGCCTCAAAGCGCTCCAAATGTCCACTTCCAGGTAGTGCAGAAAGAGTGTTTCAAACCTGCTCTATAAAAGGGAATATTCAACTCTGTGACTTGAATGCAAACATCACAAAGCACTTTCTGAGAATGCTTCCGTCTAGATTTTATATGAAGATATTCCCGTTTCCAAGGAAATCTTCCTAGCTATCTAAATATCAACTTGCAGACTCTACTAAAGGAATGTTTCCAAAATGCTGTATCCACACAAAGGTTCAACTCTGTTAATTGAGGACATACAGCACAAAGAAGTTTCTGAGAATGCTTCTGTCTAGATTTTATATGAAGATATCCCGTGTCCAACGAAATCCTCAAAGGTATCAAAATATCCACTTGCAGATTCTACAAAAAGAGTGCTTCAAAACTGCTCTGTCAAAAGGAAGGTTCAACTCTGTTACTTGAGTACACACATCACAAGGAAGTTTCTGAGAATGCTTCTGTCTGGTTTTTAGGAGAAGATATTTCGTTCTTCAACATAGGCCTCAAAGCGCTGCAAATGTCCACTTCCAAATATTACAAAAAGAGTGTTTCAAACCTGCTCTATGAAGGGAAGTGTTCACCTCTATGAGTTGAATGTAAACATCACAGAGAAGTTTCTGAGAATGTTTCTGTCTTGATTTTATATGAAGATATTCCGGTTTCCAACGAAACCTTCAAAGCTATCCAAATATCCACTTGCAGATCCTACAAAAAGAGTGTTTCCAAAACGTTGTATCCAAACAAAGGTTCAACTCTTTTAGTTGAGAACACACATCGCAAATAAGTTTCTGAGAATGCTTCTGTCTAGTTTTTATTTGAAGATATTTCCTTTTTCACCACAGGCCTGAAAGCGCTTCAAACGTCCGCTTGCAGATACTACAGAAAGAGTGTTTCAAACCTGCTCTATGAAAGGGAATGTTCAGTTCTGTGACTTGAATGCAAACATCACAAAGAAGTTCCTGAGAATGCTTCTCCCTAGATTTTATATGTAATCCCGTTTCCAACGAAATCCTCAAAGCTATCCAAATATCCACTTTCAGATTCCACAAAAAGAGTGTTTCAAAACTGCTCTGTAAAAAGAAAGGTTCATCTCTGTTAGTTGAATACACACATCACAAACAAGTTTCTGAGAATGCTTCTGTCTAGTTTTTATGGGAAGATATTTCCTTTTTCAACATAGGCCTCAAAGCGCTGCAAATGTCCACTTCCAAATATTACAAAAAGAGTGTTTCAAACCTGCTGTATGAAGGGAAGTGTTCAACTCTATGAGTTGAATGCAAACATCACAGAGAAGTTTCTGAGAATGCTTCTGTCTTGATTTTATATGCAGATATTCCCGTTTCCAACGAAACCTTCAAAGCTATCCAAATATCCACTTGCAGATTCTACAAAAAAGTGTTTCCAAAATGTTGTATCAAAACAAAGGTTCAACTCTGTTAGTTGAGAACACACATGGCAAATTAGTTTCTGAGAATGCTTCTGTCTAGTTTTTACTTGAAGATATTTCCTTTCTCACCATAGGCCTGAAAGCGCTTCAAACGTCCGTTTGCAGATACTACAGAAAGAGTGTTTCAAACATGCTCTATGAAAGGGAATGTTCAGTTCTGTGACGTGAATGCACACATCACAAAGAAGTTCCTGAGAATGCTTCTCTCTAGATTTTATATGTAATCCCGTTTCCAACGAAATCCTCAAAGCTATCCAAATATCCACTTTCAGATTCCACAAAAAGAGTGTTTCAAAACTGCTCTGTAAAAAGAAAGGTTCATCTCTGTTAGTTGAATACACACATCACAAACAAGTTTCTGAGAATGCTTCTGTCTAGTTTTTATGGGAAGATATTTCCTTTTTCAACATAGGCCTCAAAGCGCTCCAAATGTCCACTTCCAGGTAGTGCACAGAGTGTTTCAAACCTGCTCTATGAAAGGTAGTGTTCAACTCTATGAGTTGAATGCAAACATCACAGAGAAGTTTCTGAGAATGCTTCTGTCTTGATTTTATATGAAGATATTCCCGTTTCCAACGAAACCTTCGAAGCTATCCAAATATCCACTTGCAGATTCTACAAAAAGAGTGTTTCCAAAATGTTGTATCCAAACAAAGGTTCAACTCTGTTAGTTGAGAACACACATCGCAAATAAGTTTCTGAGAATGCTTCTGTCTAGTTTTTATTTGAAGATATTTCCTTTTTCACCACAGGCCTGAAAGCGCTTGAAACGACAGCTTGCAGATACTACAGAAAGAGTGTTTCAAACCTGCTCTATGAAAGGGAATGTTCAGTTCTGTGACGTGAATGCAAACATCACAAAGAAGTTCCTGAGAATGCTTCTCCCTAGATTTTATATGTAATCCCGTTTCCAACGAAATCCTCAAAGCTATCCAAATATCCACTTTCAGATTCCACAAAAAGAGTGTTTCAAAACTGCTCTGTAAAAAGAAAGGTTCATCTCTGTTAGTTGAATACACACATCACAAACAAGTTTCTGAGAATGCTTCTGTCTAGTTTCTATGGGAAGATATTTCCTTTTTCAACATAGGCCTCAAAGCGCTCCAAATGTCCACTTCCAGGTAGTGCACAGACTGTTTCAAACCTGCTCTATGAAAGGAAGTGTTCAACTCCATGAGTTGAATGCAAACATCACAGAGAAGTTTCTGAGAATGCTTCTGTCTTGATTTTATATGAAGATATTCCCGTTTCCAACGAAACCTTCTAAGCTATCCAAATATCCACCTGCAGATCCTACAAAAAGAGTGTTTCCAAAATGCAGTATCCAAACAAAGGTTCAACTCTGTTAGTTGAGAACACACATCGCAAATCAGTTTCTGAGAATGCTTCTGTCTAGTTTTTATTTGAAGATATTTCCTTTTTCACCACAGGCCTGAAAGCGCTTGAAACGTCCGCTTGCAGATACTACAGAAAGAGTGTTTCAAACCTGCTCTATGAAAGGGAATGTTCAGTTGTGTGACTTGAATGCAAACATCACAAAGAAGTTCCTGAGAATGCTTCTCCCTAGATTTTATATGTAATCCCGTTTCCAACGAAATCCTCAAAGCTATCCAAATATCCACTTTCAGATTCCACAAAAAGAGTGTTTCAAAACTGCTGTGTAAAAAGAAAGGTTCATCTCTGTTAGTTGAATACACACATCACAAACAAGTTTCTGAGAATGCTTCTGTCTAGTTTCTATGGGAAGATATTTCCTTTTTCAACATACGCCTCAAAGCGCTCCAAATGTCCACTTCCAGGTAGTGCACAGAGTGTTTCAAACCTGCTCTATAATAGGGAACATTCTACTCTGTGACTTGAATGAAGACATCACAAAGCAGTTTCTGAGAATGCTTCCGTCAAGATTTTATATGAAGATATTCCCGTTTCCAAGGAAATCTCCCTAGCTATCTAAATATCAACTTGCAGATTCTACTAAAGGAATGTTTCCAAAATGCTGTATCCACACAAGGGTTCAACTCTGTTAATTGAGGACATACAGCACAAAGAAGTTTCTGAGAATGCTTCTGTCTAGATTTTTTATGAAGATATCCCGTTTCCAAAGAAATCCTCAAAGGTATCCATATATCTACTTCCAGATTCTACAAAAAGACTTTTTCAAAACGGCTCTGTCAAAAGTAAGGTTCAACTCTGTTACTTGAGTACACACATCACAAGGAAGTTTCTGAGAATGCTTCTGTCTGGTTTTTAGGAGAAGATATTTCCTTTTTCAACATAGGCCTCAAAGCGCTGCAAATGTCCACTTCCAAATATTACAAAAAGAGTGTTTCAAACCTGCTCTATGAAGGGAAGTGTTCAACTCTATGAGTTGAATGCAAACATCACAGAGAAGTTTCTGAGAATGCTTCTGTCTTGATTTTATATGAAGATATTCCCGTTTCCAACGAAACCTTCAAAGCTATCCAAATATCCACCTGCAGATCCTACAAAAAGAGTGTTTCCAAAATGCTGTATCAAAACAAAGGTTCAACTCTGTTAGTTGAGAAGACACATCGCAAATAAGTTTCTGAGAATGCTTCTGTCTAGTTTTTATTTGAAGATATTTCCTTTTTCACCATATGCCTGAAAGCGCTTGAAACGTCCGCTTGCAAATACTACAGAAATATTGTTTCAAACATGCTCTATGAAAAGTAATGTTCAGTTCTGTGATTTGAATGCAAACATCACAAAGAAGTTCCTGAGAATGCTTCTCCCTAAATTTTTTATGTAATCCCGTTTCCAAAGAAATCCTCAAAGGTATCCAAATATCCACTTTCAGATTCCACAAAAAGAGTGTTTCAAAACTGCTCTGTAAAAAGAAAGGTTCATCTCTGTTAGTTGAATACACACATCACAAACAAGTTTCTGAGAATGCTTCTGTCTAGTTTTTATGGGAAGATATTTCCTTTTTCAACATAGGCCTCAAAGCGCTGTAAATGTCCACTTCCAAATATTACAAAAAGAGTGTTTCAAACCTGCTCTATGAAGGGAAGTGTTCAACTCTATGAGTTGAATGCAAACATCACTGAGAAGTTTCTGAGAATGCTTCTGTCTTGATTTTATATGAAGATATTCCCGTTTCCAACGAAACCTTCAAAGCTATCCAAATATCCACATGCAGATCCTACAAAAAGAGTGTTTCCAAAATGCTGTATCAAAACAAAGGTTCAACTCTGTTAGTTGAGAACACACATCGCAAATAAGTTTCTGAGAATGCTTCTGTCTAGTTTTTATTTGAAGATATTTCCTTTTTCACCACAGGCCTGAAAGCGCTTGAAACGTCCGCTTGCAGATACTACAGAAAGAGAGTTTCAATCCTACTCTATGAAAGGGAATGTTCAGTTTTGTGACTTGAATGCAAACATCACAAAGAAGTTCCTGAGAATGCTTCTCCCTAGATTTTATATGTAATCCCGTTTCCAACGAAATCCTCAAAGCTATCCAAATATCCACTTTCAGATTCCACAAAAAGAGTGTTTTAAAACTGCTCTGTAAAAAGAAAGGTTCATCTCTGTTAGTTGAATACACACATCACAAACAAGTTTCTGAGAATGCTTCTGTCTAGTTTTTATGGGAAGATATTTCCTTTTTCAACATAGGCCTCAAAGCGCTCCAAATGTCCACTTCCAGGTAGTGCACAGACTGTTTCAAACCTGCTCTATGAAAGGAAGTGTTCAACTCCATGAGTTGAATGCAAACATCACAGAGAAGTTTCTGAGAATGCTTCTGTCTTGATTTTATATGAAGATATTCCCGTTTCCAACGAAACCTTCTAAGCTATCCAAATATCCACCTGCAGATCCTACAAAAAGAGTGTTTCCAAAATGCTGTATCAAAACAAAGGTTCAACTCTGTTAGTTGAGAACACACATCGCAAATAAGTTTCTGAGAATGCTTCTGTCTAGTTTTTATTTGAAGATATTTCCTTTTTCACCACAGGCCTGAATGCGCTTGAAACGTCCGATTGCAGATACTACAGAAAGAGTGTTTCAAACCTGCTCTATGAAAGGGAATGTTCAGTTCTGTGACTTGAATGCAAACATCACAAAGAAGTTCCTGAGAATGCTTCTCCCTAGATTTTATATGTCATCCCGTTTCCAACGAAATCCTCAAAGCTATCCAAATATCCACTTTCAGATTCCACAAAAAGAGTGTTTCGAAACTGCTCTGTAAAAAGAAAGGTTCATCTCTGTTAGTTGAATACACACATCACAAACAAGTTTCTGAGAATGCTTCTGTCTAGTTTCTATGGGAAAATATTTCCTTTTTCAACATAGGCCTCAAAGCGCTCCAAATGTCCACTTCCAGGTAGTGCAGAAAGAGTGTTTCAAACATGCTCTATAAAAGGGAATATTCAACTCTGTGACTTGAATGCAAACATCACAAAGCATTTTCTGAGAATGCTTCCTTCCAGATTTTATATGAAGATATTCCCGTTTCCAAGGAAATCTTCCTAGCTATCTAAATATCAACTTGCAGATTCTACTAAAGGAATGTTTCCAAAATGCTGTATCCACACAAAGGTTCAACTCTGTTAATTGAGGACATACAGCACAAAGAAGTTTCTGAGAATGCTTCTGTCTAGATTTTATATGAAGATATCCCGTTTCCAAAGAAATCCTCAAAGGTATCCAAATATCTACTTCCAGATTCTACAAAAAGACTGTTTCAAAACGGCTCTGTCAAAAGTAAGGTTCAACTCTGTTACTTGAGTACACACATCACAAGGAAGTTTCTGAGAATGCTTCTGTCTGGTTTTTAGGAGAAGATATTTCCTTTTTCAACATAGGCCTCAAAGCGCTGCAAATGTCCACTTCCAAATATTACAAAAAGAGTGTTTCAAACCTGCTCTATGAAGGGAAGTGTTCAACTCTATGAGTTGAATGCAAACATCACAGAGAAGTTTCTGAGAATGCTTCTGTCTTGATTTTATATGAAGATATTCCCGTTTCCAACGAAACCTTCAAAGCTATCCAAATATCCACTTGCAGATTCTACAAAAAGAGTGTTTCCAAAATGTTGTATCAAAACAAAGGTTCAACTCTGTTAGTTGAGGACACACATCGCAAATAAGTTTCTGAGAATGCTTCTGTCTAGTTTTTATTTGAAGATATTTCCTTTCTTACCATAGGCCTGAAAGCGCTTGAAATGTCCGTTTGCAGATACTACAGAAAGAGTGTTTCAAACATGCTCTATGAAAGGGAATGTTCAGTTCTGTGACGTGAATGCAAACATCACAAAGAAGTTCCTGAGAATGCTTCTCTCTAGATTTTATATGTAATCCCGTTTCCAACGAAATCCTCAAAGCTATCCAAATATCCACTTTCAGATTCCACAAAAAGAGTGTTTCAAAACTGCTCTGTAAAAAGAAAGGTTCATCTCTGTTAGTTGAATACACACATCACAAACAAGTTTCTGAGAATGCTTCTGTCTAGTTTTTATGGGAAGATATTTCCTTTTTCATCATAGGCCTCAAAGCGCTCCAAATGTCCACTTCCAGATAGTGCAGAAAGAGTGTCTCAAACCTGGTATATAAAAGGGAACATTCTACTCTGTGACTTGAATGAAAACATCACAAAGCAGTTTCTGAGAATGCTTCCGTCTAGATTTTATATGAAGATATTCCCGTTTCCAACGAAACCTTCAAAGCTATCCGAATATCCACCTGCAGATTCTACAAAAAGAGTGTTTCCAAAATGCCGTATCAAAACAAAGGTTCAACTCTGTTAGTTGAGAACACACATGGCAAATAAGTTTCTGAGAATGCTTCTGTCTAGTTTTTACTTGAAGATATTTCCTTTCTCACCATAGGCCTCAAATCACTCCAAATGTCCGCTTGCAGATACTACAAAAAGAGAGTTTCAAACGTGCTCTAAGAAAGGGAATGTTCAGCTCTGTGATTTGAGTGCAAACATCACAAAGAAGTTTCTGAGAATGCTTCTGTCTGGTTTTTAGGAGAAGATATTACCTTTTTCAACATAGGCCTCAAAGCGCTGCAAATGCCCACTTCCAAATATTACAAAAAGAGTGTTTCAAACCTGCTCTATGAAGGGAAGTGTTCAAATCTATGAGTTGAATGCAAAAATCACAGAGAAGTTTCTGAGAATGCTTCTGTCTTGATTTTATATGAAGATATTCCCGTTTCCAACGAAACCTTCAAAGCTATCCAAATATCCACCTGCAGATTCTACAAAAAGAGTGTTTCCAAAATGTTGTATCAAAACAAAGGTTCAACTCTGTTAGTTGAGGACACACATCGCAAATAAGTTTCTGAGAATGCTTCTGTCTAGTTTTTACTTGAAGATATTTCCTTTCTCACCATAGGCCTGAAAGCGCTTGAAACGTCCGCTTGCAGATACTACAGAAAGAGTGTTTCAAACATGCTCTATGAAAGGGAATGTTCAGTTTTGTGACTTGAATGCAAACATCACAAAGAAGTTCCTGAGAATGCTTCTCTCTAGATTTTATATGTAATCCCGTTTCCAACGAAATCCTCAAAGCTATCCACATATCCACTTTCAGATTCAACAAAAAGAGTGTTTCAAAACTGCTCTGTAAAAAGAAAGGTTCATCTCTGTTAGTTGAATACACACATCACAAACAAGTTTCTGAGAATGCTTCTGTCTAGTTTTTATGGGAAGATATTTCCTTTTTCAACATAGGCCTCAAAGCGCTCCAAATGTCCACTTCCAGGTAGTGCAGAAAGAGTGTTTCAAACATGCTCTATAAAAGGGAATATTCAACTCTGTGACTTGAATGCAAACATCACAAAGCACTTTCTGAGAATGCTTCCTTCCAGATTTTATATGAAGATATTCCCGTTTCCAAGGAAATCTTCCTAGCTATCTAAATATCAACTTGCAGATTCTACTAAAGGAATGTTTCCAAAATGCTGTATCCACACAAAGGTTCAACTCTGTTAATTGAGGACATACAGCAGAAAGAAGTTTCTGAGAATGCTTCTGTCTAGATTTTATATGAAGATATGCCGTTTCCAAAGAAATCCTCGAAGGTATCCAAATATCTACTTCCAGATTCTACAAAAAGACTGTTTCAAAACGGCTCTGTCAAAAGTAAGGTTCAACTCTGTTACTTGAGTACACACATCACAAGGAAGTTTCTGAGAATGCTTCTGTCTGGTTTTTAGGAGAAGATATTTCCTTTTTCAACATAGGCCTCAAAGAGCTGCAAATGTCCACTTCCAAATATTACAAAAAGAGTGTTTCAAATCTGCTCTATGAAGGGAAGTGTTCAACTCTATGAGTTGAATGCAAACATCACAGAGAAGTTTCTGAGAATGCTTCTGTCTTGATTTTATATGAAGATATTCCCGTTTCCAACGAAACCTTCAAAGCTATCCAAATATCCACTTGCAGATTCTACAAAAAGAGTGTTTCCAAAATGTTGTATCAAAACAAAGGTTCAACTCTGTTAGTTGAGGACACACATCGCAAATAAGTTTCTGAGAATGCTTCTGTCTAGTTTTTACTTGAAGATATTTCCTTTCTTACCATAGGCCTGAAAGCGCTTGAAATGTCCGTTTGCAGATACTACAGAAAGAGTGTTTCAAACATGCTCTATGAAAGGGAATGTTCAGTTCTGTGACGTGAATGCAAACATCTCAAAGAAGTTCCTGAGAATGCTTCTCTCTAGATTTTATATGTAATCCCGTTTCCAACGAAATCCTCAAAGCTATCCAAATATCCACTTTCAGATTCCACAAAAAGAGTGTTTCAAAACTGCTCTGTAAAAAGAAAGGTTCATCTCTGTTAGTTGAATACACACATCACAAACAAGTTTCTGAGAATGCTTCTGTCTAGTTTTTATGGGAAGATATTTCCTTTTTCAACATAGGCCTCAAAGCGCTCCAAATGTCCACTTCCAGATAGTGCAGAAAGAGTGTCTCAATCCTGGTATATAAAAGGGAACATTCTACTCTGTGACTTGAATGAAAACATCACAAAGCAGTTTCTGAGAATGCTTCCGTCTAGATTTTATATGAAGATATTCCCGTTTCCAACGAAACCTTCAAAGCTATCCGAATATCCACCTGCAGATTCTACAAAAAGAGTGTTTCCAAAATGCCGTATCAAAACAAAGGTTCAACTCTGTTAGTTGAGAACACACATGGCAAATAAGTTTCTGAGAATGCTTCTGTCTAGTTTTTACTTGAAGATATTTCCTTTCTCACCATAGGCCTGAAAGCGCTTGAAACGTCCGCTTGCAGATACTACAGAAAGAGTGTTTCAAACATGCTCTATGAAAGGGAATGTTCAGTTCTGTGACTTGAATGCAAACATCACAAAGAAGTTCCTGAGAATGCTTCTCTCTAGATTTTATATGTAATCCCGTTTCCAACGAAATCCTCAAAGCTATCCAAATATCCACTTTCAGATTCCACAAAAAGAGTGTTTCCAAACTGCTCTGTAAAAAGAAAGGTTCATCTCTGTTAGTTGAATACACACATCACAAACAAGTTTCTGAGAATGCTTCTGTCTAGTTTTTATGGGAAGATATTTCCTTTTTCAACATAGGCCTCAAAGCGCTCCAAATGTCCACTTCCAGGTAGTGCAGAAAGAGTGTTTCAAACCTGCTCTATAAAAGGGAATATTCAACTCTGTGACTTGAATGCAAACATCACAAAGCACTTTCTGAGAATGCTTCCGTCTAGATTTTATATGAAGATATTCCCGTTTCCAAGGAAATCTTCCTAGCTATCTAAATATCAACTTGCAGATTCTACTAAAGGTATGTTTCCAAAATGCTGTATCCACACAAAGGTTCAACTCTGTTAATTGAGGACATACAGCACAAAGAAGTTTCTGAGAATGCTTCTGTCTAGATTTTATATGAAGATATCCCGTTTCCAAACAAATCCTCAAAGGTATCCAAATATCTACTTCCAGATCCTACAAAAAGACTGTTTCAAAACGGCTCTGTCAAAAGTAAGGTTCAACTCTGTTACTTGAGTACACACATCACAAGGAAGTTTCTGAGAATGCTTCTGTCTGGTTTTTAGGAGAAGATATTTCCTTTTTCAACATAGGCCTCAAAGAGCTGCAAATGTCCACTTCCAAATATTACAAAAAGAGTGTTTCAAACCTGCTCTATGAAGGGAAGTGTTCAACTCTATGAGTTGAATGCAAACATCACAGAGAAGTTTCTGAGAATGCTTCTGTCTTGATTTTATATGAAGATATTCCCGTTTCCAACGAAACCTTCAAAGCTATCCAAATATCCACTTGCAGATTCTACAAAAAGAGTGTTTCCAAAATGTTGTATCAAAACAAAGGTTCAACTCTGTTAGTTGAGGACACACATCGCAAATAAGTTTCTGAGAATGCTTCTGTCTAGTTTTTATTTGAAGATATTTCCTTTCTTACCATAGGCCTGAAAGCGCTTGAAATGTCCGTTTGCAGATACTACAGAAAGAGTGTTTCAAACATGCTCTATGAAAGGGAATGTTCAGTTCTGTGACTTGAATGCAAACATCACAAAGAAGTTCCTGGAATGCTTCTCTCTAGATCTTATATGTAATCCCGTTTCCAACGAAATCCTCAAAGCTATCCAAATATCCACTTTCAGATTCCACAAAAAGAGTGTTTCAAAACTGCTCTGTAAAAAGAAAGGTTCATCTCTGTTAGTTGAATACACACATCACAAACAAGTTTCTGAGAATGCTTCTGTCTAGTTTTTATGGGAAGATATTTCCTTTTTCAACATAGGCCTCAAAGCGCTCCAAATGTCCACTTCCAGGTAGTGCACAGACTGTTTCAAACCTGCTCTATGAAAGGAAGTGTTCAACTCCATGAGTTGAATGCAAACATCACAGAGAAGTTTCTGAGAATGCTTCTGTCTTGATTTTATATGAAGATATTCCCGTTTCCAACGAAACCTTCTAAGCTATCCAAATATCCACCTGCAGATCCTACAAAAAGAGTGTTTCCAAAATGCTGTATCAAAACAAAGGTTCAACTCTGTTAGTTGAGAACACACATCGCAAATAAGTTTCTGAGAATGCTTCTGTCTAGTTTTTATTTGAAGATATTTCCTTTTTCACCACAGGCCTGAATGCGCTTGAAACGTCCGATTGCAGATACTACAGAAAGAGTGTTTCAAACCTGCTCTATGAAAGGGAATGTTCAGTTCTGTGACTTGAATGCAAACATCACAAAGAAGTTCCTGAGAATGCTTCTCCCTAGATTTTATATGTCATCCCGTTTCCAACGAAATCCTCAAAGCTATCCAAATATCCACTTTCAGATTCCACAAAAAGAGTGTTTCGAAACTGCTCTGTAAAAAGAAAGGTTCATCTGTGTTAGTTGAATACACACATCACAAACAAGTTTCTGAGAATGCTTCTGTCTAGTTTCTATGGGAAGATATTTCCTTTTTCAACATAGGCCTCAAAGCGCTCCAAATGTCCACTTCCAGGTAGTGCACAGAGTGTTTCAAACCTGCTCTATAAAAGGGAACATTCTACTCTGTGACTTGAATGAAGACATCACAAAGCAGTTTCTGAGAATGCTTCCGTCTAGATTTTATATGAAGATATTCCCGTTTCCAAGGAAATCTTCCTAGCTATCTAAATATCAACTTGCAGATTCTACTAAAGGAATGTTTCCAAAATGCTGTATCCACACAAAGGTTCAACTCTGTTAATTGAGGACATACAGCACAAAGAAGTTTCTGAGAATGCTTCTGTCTAGATTTTATATGAAGATATCCCGTTTCCAAAGAAATCCTCAAAGGTATCCAAATATCTACTTCCAGATTCTACAAAAAGACTGTTTCAAAACGGCTCTGTCAAAAGTAAGGTTCAACTCTGTTACTTGAGTACACACATCACAAGGAAGTTTCTGAGAATGCTTCTGTCTGGTTTTTAGGAGAAGATATTTCCTTTTTCAACATAGGCCTCAAAGCGCTGCAAATGTCCACTTCCAAATATTACAAAAAGAGTGTTTCAAACCTGCTCTATGAAGGGAAGTGTTCAACTCTATGAGTTGAATGCAAACATCACAGAGAAGTTTCTGAGAATGCTTCTGTCTTGATTTTATATGAAGATATTCCCGTTTCCAACGAAACCTTCAAAGCTATCCAAATATCCACATGCAGATCCTACAAAAAGAGTGTTTCCAAAATGCTGTATCAAAACAAAGGTTCAACTCTGTTAGTTGAGAACACACATCGCAAATAAGTTTCTGAGAATGCTTCTGTCTAGTTTTTATTTGAAGATATTTCCTTTTTCACCACAGGCCTGAAAGCGCTTGAAACGTCCGCTTGCAGATACTACAGAAAGAGTGTTTCAATCCTGCTCTATGAAAGGGAATGTTCAGTTCTGTGACTTGAATGCAAACATCACAAAGAAGTTCCTGAGAATGCTTCTCCCTAGATTTTATATGTAATCCCGTTTCCAACGAAATCCTCAAAGCTATCCAAATATCCACTTTCAGATTCCACAAAAAGAGTGTTTCAAAACTGCTCTGTAAAAAGAAAGGTTCATCTCTGTTAGTTGAATACACACATCACAAACAAGTTTCTGAGAATGCTTCTGTCTTGTTTTTATGGGAAGATATTTCCTTTTTCATCATAGGCCTCAAAGCGCTCCAAATGTCCACTTCCAGATAGTGCAGAAAGAGTGTCTCAAACCTGGTATATAAAAGGGAACATTCTACTCTGTGACTTGAATGAAAACATCACAAAGCAGTTTCTGAGAATGCTTCCGTCTAGATTTTATATGAAGTTATTCCCGTTTCCAACGAAACCTTCAAAGCTATCCGAATATCCACCTGCAGATTCTACAAAAAGAGTGTTTCCAAAATGCCGTATCAAAACAAAGGTTCAACTCTGTTAGTTGAGAACACACATGGCAAATAAGTTTCTGAGAATGCTTCTGTCTAGTTTTTACTTGAAGATATTTCCTTTTTCACCATAGGCCTGAAAGCGCTTGAAACGTCCGCTTGCAGATACTACAGAAAGAGTGTTTCAAACATGCTCTATGAAAGGGAATGTTCAGTTCTGTGACTTGAATGCAAACATCACAAAGAAGTTCCTGAGAATGCTTCCCTCTAGATTTTATATGTAATCCCGTTTCCAACGAAATCCTCAAAGCTATCCAAATATCCACTTTCAGATTCCACAAAAAGAGTGTTTCAAAACTGCTCTGTAAAATGAAAGGTTCATCTCTGTTAGTTGAATACACACATCACAAACAAGTTTCTGAGAATGCTTCTGTCTAGTTTTTATGGGAAGATATTTCCTTTTTCAACATAGGCCTCAAAGCGCTCCAAATGTCCACTTCCAGGTAGTGCAGAAAGAGTGTTTCAAACCTGCTCTATAAAAGGGAATATTCAACTCTCTGACTTGAATGCAAACATCACAAAGCACTTTCTGAGAATGCTTCCGTCTAGATTTTATATGAAGATATTCCCGTTTCCAAGGAAATCTTCCTAGCTATCTAAATATCAACTTGCAGATTCTACTAAAGGAATGTTTCCAAAATGCTGTATCCACACAAAGGTTCAACTCTGTTAATTGAGGACATACAGCACAAAGAAGTTTCTGAGAATGCTTCTGTCTAGATTTTATATGAAGATATCCCGTTTCCAAAGAAATCCTCAAAGGTATCCAAATATCTACTTCCAGATCCTACAAAAAGAGTGTTTCCAAACTGCTCTATCAAAACAAAGGTTCAACTCTGTTAGTTGAGAACACACATCGCAAATAAGTTTCTGAGAATGCTTCTGTCTAGTTTTTATTTGAAGATATTTCCTTTTTCACCACAGGCCTGAAAGCGCTTGAAACGTCCGCTTTCAGATACTACAGAAAGAGTGTTTCAAACCTGCTCTATGAAAGGGAATGTTCAGTTCTGTGACTTCAATGCAAACATCACAAAGAAGTTCCTGAGAATGCTTCTCCCTAGATTTTATATGTAATCCCGTTTCCAACGAAATCCTCAAAGCTATCCAAATATCCACTTTCAGATTCCACAAAAAGAGTGTTTCAAAACTGCTCTGTAAAAAGAAAGGTTCATCTCTGTTAGTTGAATACACACATCACAAACAAGTTTCTGAGAATGCTTCTGTCTAGTTTTTATGGGAAGATATTTCCTTTTTCAACATACGCCTCAAAGCGCTCCAAATGTCAACTTCCAGGTAGTGCACAGAGTGTTTCAAACCTGCTCTATGAAAGGAAGTGTTCAACTCTATGAGTTGAATGCAAGCATCACAGAGAAGTTTCTGAGAATGCTTCCGTCTAGATTTTATGTGAAGATATTCCCGTTTCCAAGGAAATCTTCCTAGCTATCTAAATATCAACTTGCAGATTCTACTAAAGGAGTGTTTCCAAAATGCTGTATCCACACAAAGGTTCAACTCTGTTAATTGAGGACATACAGCACAAAGAAGTTTCTGAGAATGCTTCTGTCTAGATTTTATATGAAGATATCCCGTTTCCAAAGAAATCCTCAAAGGTATCCAAATATCTACTTCCAGATTCTACAAAAAGACTGTTTCAAAACGGCTCTGTCAAAAGTAAGGTTCAACTCTGTTACTTGAGTACACACATCACAAGGAAGTTTCTGAGAATTCTTCTGTCTGGTTTATAGGAGAAGATATTTCCTTTTTCAACATAGGCCTCAAAGCGCTGCAAATGTCCACTTCCAAATATTACAAAAAGAGTGTTTCAAACCTGCTCTATGAAGGGAAGTGTTCAACTCTATGAGTTGAATGCAAACATCACAGAGAAGTTTCTGAGAATGCTTCTGTCTTGATTTTATATGAAGATATTCCCGTTTCCAACGAAACCTTCAAAGCTATCCGAATATCCACCTGCAGATTCTACAAAAAGAGTGTTTCCAAAATGCTGTATCAAAACAAAGGTTCAACTCTGTTAGTTGAGAACACACATGGCAAATATGTTTCTGAGAATGCTTCTGTGTAGTTTTTACTTGAAGATATTTCCTTTCTCACCATAGGCCTGAAAGCTCTTGAAACGTCAGCTTGCAGATACTACAGAAAGAGTGTTTCAAACCTGCTCTATGAAAGGGAATGTTCAGTTCTGTGACTTGAATGCAAACATCACAAAGAAGTTCCTGAGAATGCTTCTCTCTAGGTTTTATATGTAATCCCGTTTCCAACGAAATCCTCAAAGCTATCCAAATATCCACTTTCAGATTCCACAAAAAGAGTGTTTCAAAACTGCTCTGTAAAAAGAAAGGTTCATCTCTGTTAGTTGAATACACGCATCACAAACAAGTTTCTGAGAATGCTTCTGTCTAGTTTTTATGGGAAGATATTTCCTTTTTCAACATAGGCCTCAAAGCGCTCCAAATGTCCACTTCCAGGTAGTGCAGAAAGAGTGTTTCAAACCTGCTCTATAAAAGGGAATATTCAACTCTGTGACTTGAATGCAAACATCACAAAGCACTTTCTGAGAATGCTTCCGGCTAGATTTTATATGAAGATATTCCCGTTTCCAAGGAAATCTTCCTAGCTATCTAAATATCAACTTGCAGATTCTACTAAAGGAATGTTTCCAAAATGCTGTATCCACACAAAGGTTCAACTCTGTTAATTGAGGACATACAGCACAAAGAAGTTTCTGAGAATGCTTCTGTCTAGATTTTATATGAAGATATCCCGTGTCCAACGAAATCCTCAAAGGTATCAAAATATCCACTTGCAGATTCTACAAAAAGAGTGCTTCAAAACTGCTCTGTCAAAAGGAAGGTTCAACTCTGTTACTTGAGTACACACATCACAAGGAAGTTTCTGAGAATGCTTCTGTCTGGTTTTTAGGAGAAGATATATCCTTTTTCAACATAGGCCTCAAAGCGCTGCCAATGTCCACTTCCAAATATTACAAAAAGAGTGTTTCAAATCTGCTGTATGAAGGGAAGTGTTCAACTCTATGAGTTGAATGCAAACATCACAGAGAAGTTTCTGAGAATTCTTCTGTCTTGATTTTATATGAAGATATTCCCGTTAACAACGAAACCTTCAAAGCTATCCAAATATCCACTTGCAGATTCTACAAAAAGAGTGTTTCCAAAATGTTGTATCCAAACAAAGGTTCAACTCTGTTAGTTGAGAACACACATCACAAATAAGTTTCTGAGAGTGCTTCTGTCTAGTTTTTATTTGAAGATATTTCCTTTTTCACCACAGGCCTGAAAGCGCTTGAAACGTCAGCTTGCAGATACTACAGAAAGAGTGTTTCAAACCTGCACTATGAAAGGGAATGTTCAGTTCTGTGACTTGAATGCAAACATCACAAAGAAGTTCCTGAGAATGCTTCTCCCTAGATTTTATATGTAATCCCGTTTCCAACGAAATCCTCAAAGCTATCCAAATATCCAATTTCAGATTCCACAAAAAGAGTGTTTCAAAACTACTCTGTAAAAAGAAAGGTTCATCTCTGTTAGTTGAATAAACACATCACAAACAAGTTTCTGAGAATGCTTCTGTCTAGTTTCTATGGGAAGATATTTCCTTTTTCAACATAGGCTTCAAAGCGCTCCAAATGTCCACTTCCAGGTAGTGCACAGAGTGTTTCAAACCTGCTCTATAAAAGGGAACATTCTACTCTGTGACTTGAATGAAGACATCACAAAGCAGTTTCTGAGAATGCTTCCGTCTAGATTTTATATGAAGATATTCCCTTTTCCAAGGAAATCTTATTAGCTATCTAAATATCAACTTGCAGATTCTACTAAAGGAATGTTTCCAAAATGCTGTATCCACACAAAGGTTCAACTCTGTTAATTGAGGACATACAGCACAAAGAAGTTCCTGAGAATGCTTCTGTCTAGATTTTATATGAAGATATCCCGTTTCCAAAGAAATCCTCAAAGGTATCCAAATATCTAGTTCCAGATTCTACAAAAAGACTGTTTCAAAACGGCTCTGTCAAAAGTAAAGTTCAACTCTGTTACTTGAGTACACACATCACAAGGAAGTTTCTGAGAATGCTTCTGTCTGGTTTTTAGGAGAAGATATTTCGTTTTTCAACATAGGCCTCAAAGCGCTGCAAATGTCCACTTCCAAATATTACAAAAAGAGTGTTTCAAACCTGCTGTATGAAAGGAAGTGTTCAACTCTATGAGTTCAATGCAAACATCACAGAGAAGTTTCTGAGAAGGCTTCTGTGTTGATTTTATATGAAGATATTCCCGTTTCCAATGAAACCTTCAAAGCTATCCAAATATCCACCTGCAGATCCTACAAAAAGAGTGTTTCCAAAATGCTGTATCAAAACAAAGGTTCAACTCTGTTAGTTGAGAACACACATCGCAAATAAGTTTCTGAGAATGCTTCTGTCTAGTTTTTATTTGAAGATATTTCCTTTTTCACCACAGGCCTGAAAGCGCTTGAAACGTCCGCTTGCAGATACTACAGAAAGAGTGTTTCAAACCTGCTCTATGAAAGGGAATGTTCAGTTCTGTGACTTGAATGCAAACATCACACAGAAGTTCCTGAGAATGCTTCTCCCTAGATTTTATATGTAATCCCGTTTCCAACGAAATCCTCAAAACTATCCAATTATCCACTTTCAGATTCCACAAAAAGAGTGTTTCAAAACTGCTCTGTAAAAAGAAAGGTTCATCTCTGTTAGTTGAATAC
Source organism: Homo sapiens (assembly GCF_000001405.40). Taxonomy (NCBI): domain Eukaryota; kingdom Metazoa; phylum Chordata; class Mammalia; order Primates; family Hominidae; genus Homo; species Homo sapiens. The sequence continues at coordinate 60,677,017 of NC_000009.12, forward strand.
ACACATCACAAACAAGTTTCTGAGAATGCTTCTGTCTAGTTTCTATGGGAAGATATTTCCTTTTTCAACATAGGCCTCAAAGCGCTCCAAATGTCCACTTCCAGGTAGTGCACTGAGTGTTTCAAACCTGCTCTATAAAAGGGAACATTCTACTCTGTGACTTGAATGAAGACTTCACAAAGCAGTTTCTGAGAATGCTTCCGTCTAGATTTTATGTGAAGATATTCCCGTTTCCAAGGAAATCTTCCTAGCTATCTATATATCAACTAGCAGATTCTACTAAAGGAGTGTTTCCAAAGTGCTGTATCCACACAAAGGTTCAACTCTGTTAATTGAGGACATACAGCACAAAGAAGTTTCTGAGAATGCTTCTGTCTAGATTTTATATGAAGATATCCCGTTTCCAAAGAAATCCTCAAAGGTATCCAAATATCTACTTCCAGATTCTACAAAAAGACTGTTTCAAAACGGCTCTGTCAAAAGTAAGGTTCAACTCTGTTACTTGAGTACCCACATCACAAGGAAGTTTCTGAGAATGCTTCTGTCTGGTTTTTAGGAGAAGATATTTCCTTTTTCAACATAGGCCTCAAAGCGCTGCAAATGTCCACTTCCAAATATTACAAAAAGAGTGTTTCAAACCTGCTGTATGAAGGGAAGTGTTCAACTCTATGAGTTGAATGCAAACATTACAGAGAAGTTTCTGAGAATGCTTCTGTCTTGATTTTATATGAAGATATTCCCGTTTCCAACGAAACCTTCAAAGCCATCCAAATATCCACTTGCAGATTCTACAAAAAGAGTGTTTCCAAAATGTTGTACCAAAAGAAAGGTTCAACTCTGTTAGTTGAGGACACACATCGCAAATAAGTTTCTGAGAATGCTTCTGTCTAGTTTTTATTTGAAGATATTTCCTTTCTCACCATAGGCCTGAAAGCGTTTGAAATATCCGTTTGCAGATACTACAGAAAGAGTGTTTCAAACATGCTCTATGAAAGGGAATGTTCAGTTCTGTGACTTGAATGCAAACATCACAAAGATGTTCCTGAGAATGCTTCTCTCTAGATTTTACATGTAATCCCGTTTCCAACGAAATCCTCAAAGCTAACCAAATATCCACTTTCAGATTCCACAAAAAGAGTGTTTGAAAACTGCTCTGTAAAAAGAAAGGTTCATCTCTGTTAGTTGAATACACACATCACAAACAAGTTTCTGAGAATGCTTCTGTCTAGTGTTTATGGGAAGATATTTCCTTTTTCATCATAGGCCTCAAAGCGCTCCAAATGTGCACTTCCAGGTAGTGCAGAAAGTGTGTCTCAAACCTGGTATATAACAGGGAACATTCTACTCTGTGACTTGAATGAAAACATCACAAAGCAGTTTCTGAGAATGCTTCCGTCTAGATTTTATATGAAGATATTCCCGTTTCCAACGAAACCTTCAAAGCTATCCGAATATCCACCTGCAGATTCTACAAAAAGAGTGTTTCCAAAATGCCGTATCAAAACAAAGGTTCAACTCTGTTAGTTGAGGACACACATGGCAAATAAGTTTCTGAGAATGCTTCTGTCTACTTTTTACTTGAAGATATTTCCTTTCTCACCATAGGCCTGAAAGCGTTTGAAATGTCCGTTTGCAGATACTACAGAAAGAGTGTTTCAAACATGCTCTATGAAAGGGAATGTTCAGTTCTGTGACGTGAATGCAAACATCACAAAGAAGTTCCTGAGAATGCTTCTCTCTAGATTTTGTATGTAATCCCGTTTCCAACGAAATCCTCAAAGCTATCCAAATATCCACTTTCAGATTCCACAAAAAGAGTGTTTCAAAACTGCTCTGTAAAAAGAAAGGTTCATCTCTGTTAGTTGAATACACACATCACAAACAAGTTTCTGAGAATGCTTCTGTCTAGTTTTTTGGGAAGATATTTCCTTTTTCATCATAGGCCTCAAAGCGCTCCAAATGCCCACTTCCAGGTAGTGCAGAAAGAGTGTCTCAAACCTGGTATATAACAGGGAACATTCTACTCTGTGACTTGAATGAAAACATCACAAAGCAGTTTCTGAGAATGCTTCCGTCTAGATTTTATATGAAGATATTCCCGTTTCCAACGAAACCTTCAAAGCTATCCGAATATCCACCTGCAGATTCTACAAAAAGAGTGTTTCCAAAATACCGTATCAAAACAAAGCTTCAACTCTGTTAGTTGAGAACACACATGGCAAATAAGTTTCTGAGAATGCTTCTGTCTAGTTTTTACTTGAAGATATTTCCTTTCTCACCATAGGCCTGAAAGCGCTTGAAACGTCAGCTTGCAGATACTACAGAAAGAGTGTTTCAAACCTGCTCTATGAAAGGGAATGTTCAGTTCTGTGACTTGAATGCAAACTTCACAAAGAAGTTCCTGAGACTGCTTCTCTCTAGGTTGTATATGTAATCCCGTTTCCAACGAAATCCTCAAAGCTATCCAAATATCCACTTTCAGATTCCACAAAAAGAGTGTTTCAAAACTGCTCTGTAAAAAGAAAGGTTCATCTCTGTTAGTTGAATACACACATCACAAACAAGTTTCTGAGAATGCTTCTGTCTAGTTTTTATGGGAAGATATTTCCTTTTTCCGCATAGGCCTCAAAGCGCTCCAAATGTCCACTTGCATGTAGTGCACAGAGTGTTTCAAACCTGCTCTATAAAAGGGAACATTCTCCTCTGTGACATGAATGAAAACATCTCAAAGCAGTTTCTGAGAATGCTTCTGTCTAGATTTTATATGAAGATATCCCGTGTCCAACGAAATCCTCAAAGGTATCAAAATATCCACTTGCAGATTCTACAAAAAGAGAGCTTCAAAACTGCTCTGTCAAAAGGAAGGTTCATCTCTGTTACTTGAGTACACACATCACAAGGAAGATTCTGAGAATGCTTCTGTCTGGTTTTTAGGAGAAGATATCTCCTTTTTCACCATAGGTCTCAAACCGCTGCAAATGTCCACTTCTAAATATTACAAAAAGAGTATTTCAAACCAGCTCTATGAAAGGAAGTGTTCAACTCTATGAGTTGAATGCAAACATCACAGAGAAGTTTCTGAGAATGCTTCTGTCTTGATTTTATATGAAGATATTCCCATTTCCAACGAAACCTTTAAAGCTATCCAAATATCCACCTGCAGATCCTACAAAAATACTGTTTCCAAAATGCTGTATCAAAACAAAGGTTCAACTCTGTTAGTTGGAAACACACATCGCAAATAAGTTTCTGAGAATACTTCTGTCTAGTTTTTATTTGAAGATATTTCCTTTTGCACCACAGGCCTGAAAGCGCTTGAAACGTCAGCTTGCAGATACTACAGAAAGAGTGTTTCAAACCTGCACTATGAAAGGGAATGTTCAGTTCTGTGACTTGAATGCAAACATCACAAAGAAGTTCCTGAGAATGCTTCTCCCTAGATTTTATATGTAATCCCGTTTCCAACGAAATCCTCAAAGCTATCCAAATATCCACTTTCAGATTCCACAAAAAGAGTGTTTCAAAACTGCTCTGTAAAAAGAAAGGTTCATCTCTGTTAGTTGAATACACACATCACAAACAAGTTTCTGAGAATGCTTCTGTCTAGTTTCTATGGGAAGATATTTCCTTTTTCAACATAGGCGTCAAAGCGCTCCAAATGTCCACTTCCAGGTAGTGCACTGAGTGTTTCAAACCTGCTCTATAAAAGGGAACATTCTACTCTGTGACTTCAATGAAGACATCACAAAGCAGTTTCTGAGAATGCTTCCGTCTAGATTTTATGTGAAGATATTCCCGTTTCCAAGGAAATCTTCCTAGCTATCTAAATATCAACTTGCAGATTCTACTAAAGGAATGTTTCCAAAATGCTGTATCCACACAAAGGTTCAACTCTGTTAATTGAGGACATACAGCACAAAGAAGTTTCTGAGAATGCTTCTGTCTAGATTTTATATGAAGATATTCCCGTTTCCAAGGAAATCTTCCTATCTAAGTATCAACTTGCAGATTCTACTAAAGGAGTGTTTCCAAAATGCTTTATCCACACAAAGGTTCAACTCTGTTAATTGAGGACATACAGCACAAAGAAGTTTCTGAGAATGCTTCTGTCTAGATTTTATATGAAGATATCCCGTTTCCAAAGAAATCCTCAAAGGTATCCAAATATCTACTTCCAGATTCTACAAAAAGACTGTTCCAAAACGGCTCTGTCAAAAGTAAGGTTCAACTCTGTTACTTGAGTACACACATCACAAGGAAGTTTCTGAGAATGCTTCTGTCTGGTTTTTAGGAGAAGATATTTCCTTTTTCAACATAGGCTTCAAAGCGCTGCCAATGTCCACTTCCAAATATTACAAAAAGAGTATTTCAAACCAGCTCTATGAAAGGAAGTGTTCAACTCTATGAGTTGAATGCAAACATCGCAGAGAAGTTTCTGAGAATGCTTCTGTGTTGATTTTATATGAAGATATTCCCGTTTCCAACGAAACCTTCAAACCTATCCAAATATCCACCTGCAGATCCTACAAAAAGAGTGTTTCCAAAATGCTGTATCAAAACAAAGGTTCAACTTTGTTAGTTGAGGACACACATCGCAAATAAGTTTCTGAGAATGCTTCTGTCTAGTTTTTATTTGAAGATATTTCCTTTCTCACCATAGGCCTGAAAGCGTATGAAATGTCCGTTTGCAAATACTACAGAAAGAGTGTTTCAAACATGCTCTATGAAAGGGAATGTTCAGTTCTGTGACTTGAATGCAAACATCACAAAGAAGTTCCTGAGAATGCTTCTCTCTAGATTTTATATGTAATCCCGTTTCCAACGAAATCCTCAAAGCTATCCAAATATCCACTTTCAGATTCCACAAAAAGAGTGTTTCAAAACTGCTCTGTGAAAAGAAAGGTTCATCTCTGTTAGTTGAATACACACATCACAAACAAGTTTCTGAGAATGCTTCTGTCTAGTTTTTATGGGAAGATATTTCCTTTTTCAGCATAGGCCTCAAAGCGCTCCAAATGTCCACTTCCAGGTAGTGCAGAAAGAGTGTCCCAAACCTGGTATATAACAGGGAACATTCTACTCTGTGACTTGAATGAAAACATCACAAAGCACTTTCTGAGAATGCTTCCGTCTAGATTTTATATGAAGATATTCCCGTTTCCAAGGAAATCTTCCTAGCTATCTAAATATCAACTTGCAGATTCTACTAAAGGAATGTTTCCAAAATGCTGTATCGAAACAAAGGCTCAACTCTGTTAATTGAGGACATACAGCACAAAGAAGTTTCTGAGAATGCTTCTGTCTAGATTTTATATGAAGATATCCCGTGTCCAAAGAAATCCTCAAAGGTATCAAAATATCCACTTGCAGATTCTACAAAAAGAGTGCTTCAAAACTGCTCTGTCAAAATGAAGGTTCAACTCTGTTACTTGAGTACACACATCACAAGAAAGATTCTGAGAATGCTTCTGTCTGGTTTTTAGGAGAAGATATCTCCTTTTTCACCATAGGCTTCAAAGCGCTGCCAATGTCCACTTCCAAATATTACAAAAAGAGTATTTCAAACCAGCTCTATGAAAGGAAGTGTTCAACTCTATGAGTTGAATGCAAGCATCACAGAGAAGTTTCTGAGAATGCTTCCGTCTAGATTTTATGTGAAGATATTCCCGTTTCCAAGGAAATCTTCCTAGCTATCTAAATATCAACTTGCAGATTCTACTAAAGGAGTGTTTCCAAAGTGCTGTATCCACACAAAGGTTCAACTCTGTTAATTGAGGACATACGGCACAAAGAAGTTTCTGAGAATGCTTCTGTCTAGATTTTATATGAAGATATCCCGTTTCCAAAGAAATCCTCAAAGCTATCCAAATATCTACTTCCAGATTCTACAAAAAGACTGTTTCAAAACGGCTCTGTCAAAAGTAAGGTTCAACTCTGTTACTTGAGTACACACATCACAAGGAAGTTTCTGAGAATGCTTCTGTCTGGTTTTTAGGAGAAGATATTTCCTTTTTCAACATAGGCCTCAAAGCGCTCCAAATGTCCACTTCCAGGTAGTGCAGAAAGAGTGTTTCAAACCTGCTCTATAAAAGAGAATATTCAACTCAGTGACTTGAATGCAAACATCACAAAGCACTTTCTGAGAATGCTTCCGTCTAGATTTTATATGAAGATATTCCCGTTTCCAAGGAAATCTTCCTAGCTATCTAAATATCAACTTGCAGATTCTACTAAAGGAATGTTTCCAAAATGCTGTATCCACACAAATGTTCAACTCTGTTAATTGAGGACATACAGCACAAAGAAGTTTCTGAGAATGCTTCTGTCTAGATTTTATATGAAGATATCCCGTGTCCAACGAAATCCTCAAAGGTATCAAAATATCCACTTGCAGATTCTACAAAAAGAGTGCTTCAAAACTGATCTGTCAAAAGGAAGGTTCAACTCTGTTACTTGAGTACACATATCACAAGGAAGTTTCCGAGAATGCTTCTGTCTGGTTTTTAGGAGAAGATATTTCCTTTTTCAACATAGGCCTCAAAGCGCTGCAAATGTCCACTTCCAAATATTACAAAAAGAGTGTTTCAAACCTGCTGTATGAAGGGAAGTGTACAACTCTATGAGTTGAATGCAAACATCACAGAGAAGTTTCTGAGAATGCTTCTGTCTTGATTTTATATGAAGATATTCCCGTTTCCAACGAAACCTTCAAAGCTATCCAAATATCCACTAGCAGATTCTACAAAAAGAGTGTTTCCAAAATGTTGTATAAAGACAAAGGTTCAACTCTGTTAGTTGAGAACACACATCGCAAATAAGTTTCTGAGAATGCTTCTGTCTAATTTTTATTTGAAGATATTTCCTTTTTCACCACAGGCCTGAAAGCGCTTCAAACGTCCGCTTGCAGATACTACAGACAGAGTGTTTCAAACCTGCTCTATGAAAGGGAATGTTCAGTTCTGTGACTTGAATGCAAACATCACAAAGAAGTTCCTGAGAATGCTTCTCCCTAGATTTTATATGTAATCCCGTTTCCAACGAAATCCTCAAAGCTATCCAAATATCCACTTTCAGATTCCACAAAAAGAGTGTTTCAAAACTGCTCTGTAAAAAGAAAGGTTCATCTCTGTTAGTTGAATACACACATCACAAACAAGTTTCTGAGAATGCTTCTGTCTAGTTTTTATGGGAAGATATTTCCTTTTTCAACATAGGCCTCAAAGCGCTCCAAATGTCCACTTCCAGGTAGTGCACAGAGTGTTTCAAACCTGCTCTATGAAAGGAAGTGTTCAACTCTATGAGTTGAATGCAAACATCACAGAGAAGTTTCCGAGAATGCTTCTGTCTTGATTTTATATGAGGATATTCCCGTTTCCAACGAAACCTTCAAAGCTATCCAAATATCCACCGGCAGATCCTACAAAAAGAGTGTTGCCAAAATGCCGTATCAAAACAAAGGTTCAATTCTGTTAGTTGAGAACACACATGGCAAATAAGTTTCTGAGAATGCTTCTGTCTAGTTTTTACTTGAAGATTTTTCCTTTCACACCATAGGCCTGAAAGCGCTTGAAACGTCCGCTTGCAGATACTACAGAAAGAGTGTTTCAAACCTGCTCTATGAAAGGGAATGTTCAGTTCTGTGACTTGAATGCAAACATCACAAAGAAGTTCCTGAGAATGCTTCTCCCTAGATTTTATATGTAATCCCGTTTCCAACGAAATCCTCAAATCTATCCAAATATCCACTTTCAGATTCCACAAAAAGATTGTTTCAAAACTGCTCTGTAAAAAGAAAGGTTCATCTCTGTTAGTTGAATACACACATCACAAACAAGTTTCTGAGAATGCTTCTGTCTAGTTTTTATGGGAAGATATTTCCTTTTTCAACACAGGCCTCAAAGCGCTCCAAATGTCCACTTCCAGGTAGTGCACTGAGTGTTTCAAACCTGCTCTATAAAAGGGAACATTCTACTCTGTGACTTGAATGAAGACATCACAAAGCAGTTTCTGAGAATGCTTCCGTCTAGATTTTATGTGAAGATATTCCCGTTTCCAAGGAAAACTTCCTAGCTATCTAAATATCAACTTGCAGATTCTACTAAAGGAGTTTTTCCAAAATGCTGTATCCACACAAAGGTTCAACACTGTTAATTGAGGACATACAGCACAAAGAAGTTTCTGAGAATGCTTCTGTCTAGATTTTATGTGAAGATATCCCGTGTCCAACGAAATCCTCAAAGGTATCAAAATATCCACTTGTAGATTCTGCAAAAAGAGTGCTTCAAAACTGCTCTGTCAAAATGAAGGTTCAACTCTGTTACTTGAGTACACACATCACAAGAAAGATTCTGAGAATACTTCTGTCTGGTTTTTAGGAGAAGATATCTCCTTTTTCACCATAGGCTTCAAAGCGCTGCCAATGTCCACTTCCAAATATTACAAAAACAGTATTTCAAACCAGCTCTATGAAAGGAAGTGTTCAACTCTATGAGTTGAATGCAAACATCACAGAGAAGTTTCTGAGAATGCTTCTGTGTTGATTTTATATGAAGATATTCCCGTTTCCAACGAAACCTTCAAAGCTATCCAAATATCCACCTGCAGATCCTACAAAAAGAGTGTTTCCAAAATGCTGTATCAAAACAAAGGTTCAACTCTGTTAGTTGAGAACACACATCGCAAATAAGTTTCTGTGAATGCTTCTGTCTAGTTTTTATTTGAAGATATTTCCTTTTTCACCACAGGCCTGAAAGCGCTTGAAACGTCCGCTTGCAGATACTACAGAAAGAGTGTTTCAAAGCTGCTCTATGAAAGGGAATGTTCAGTTCTGTGACTTGAATGCAAACATCACAAAGAAGATCCTGAGAATGCTTCTCCCTAGATTTTATATGTAATCCCGTTTCCAACGAAATCCTCAAAGCTATCCAAATATCCACTTTCAGATTCCACAAAAAGAGTGTTTCAAAACTGCTCTGTAAAAAGAAAGGTTCATCTCTGTTAGTTGAATACACACATCACAAACAAGTTTCTGAGAATGCTTCTGTCTAGTTTTTATGGGAAGATATTTCCTTTTTCAACATAGGCCTCAAAGCGCTCCAAATGTCCTCTTCCAGGTAGTGCACAGAGAGTTTCAAACCTGCTCTATGAAAGGAAGTGTGCAACTCTATGAGTTGAATGCAAGCATCACAGAGAAGTTTCTGAGAATGCTTCCGTCTAGATTTTATGTGAAGATATTCCCGTTTCCAAGGAAATCTTCCTAGTTATCTAAATATCAACTTGCAGATTCTACTAAAGGAGTGTTTCCAAAATGCTGTATCCACACAAAGGTTCAACTCTGTTAATTGAGGACATACAGCACAAAGAAGTTTCTGAGAATGCTTCTGTCTAGATTTTATATGAAGATATCCCGTTTCCAAAGAAATCCTCAAAGGTATCCAAATATCTACTTCCAGATTCTACAAAAAGACTGTTTCAAAACGGCTCTGTCAAAAGTAAGGTTCAACTCTGTTACTTGAGTACACACATCACAAGGAAGTTTCTGAGAATGCTTCTGTCTGGTTTTTAGGTGAAGATATTTCCTTTTTCAACATAGGCCTCAAAGCGCTGCAAATGTCCACTTCCAAATATTACAAAAAGAGTGTTTCAAACCTGCTGTATGAAGGGAAGTGTTCAACTCTATGAGTTGAATGCAAACATCACAGAGAAGTTTCTGAGAATGTTTCTGTCTTGATTTTATATGAAGATATTCCCGTTTCCAACGAAACCTTCAAAGCTATCCAAATATCCACTTGCAGATTCCACAAAAAGAGTGTTTCCAAAATGTTGTATCAAAAGAAAGGTTCAACTCTGTTAGTTGAGGACACACATCACAAATAAGTTTATGAGAATGCTTCTGTCTAGTTTTTATTTGAAGATATTTCCTTTCTCACCATAGGCCTGAAAGCGTTTGAGATGTCCGTTTGCAGATACTACAGAAAGAGTGTTTCAAACATGCTCTATGAAAGGGAATGTTCAGTTCTGTGACGTGAATGCAAACATCACAAAGAAGTTCCTGAGAATGCTTCTCTCTAGATTTTATATGTAATCCCGTTTCCAACGAAATCCTCAAAGCTATCCAAATATCCACTTTCAGATTCCACAAAAAGAGTGTTTCAAAACTGCTCTGTAAAAAGAAAGGTTCATCTCTGTTACTTGAATACACACATCACAAACAAGTTTCTGAGAATGCTTCTGTCTAGTTTTTATGGGAAGATATTTCCTTTTTCAGCATAGGCCTCAAAGCGCTCCAAATGTCCACTTCCAGGTAGTGCAGAAAGAGTGTCTCAAACCTGGTATATAACAGGGAACATTCTACTCTGTGACTTGAATGAAAACATCACAAAGCAGTTTCTGAGAATGCTTCCGTCTAGATTATATATGAAGATATTCCCGTTTCCAACGAAACCTTCAAAGCTATCTGAATATCCACCTGCAGATTCTACAAAAAGAGTGTTTCCAAATGCCGTATCAAAACAAAGGTTCAACTCTGTTAGTTGAGAACACACATGGCAAATAAGTTTCTGAGAATGCTTCTGTCTAGTTTTTCTTGAAGATATTTCCTTTCTCACCATAGGCCTGAAAGCGCTTGAAACGTCAGCTTGCAGATACTACAGAAAGACTGTTTCAAACCTGCTCTATGAAAGCGAATGTTCAGTTCTGTGACTTGAATGCAAACATCACAAAGAAGTTCCTGAGAATGCTTCTCCCTAGATTTTATATGTAATCCCGTTTCCAACGAAATTTTCAAAGCTGTCCAAATATCCACTTTCAGATTCCACAAAAAGAGTGTTTCAAAACTGCTCTGTAAAAAGAAAGGTTCATCTCTGTTAGTTGAATATACACATCACAAATAAGTTTCTGAGAATGCTTCTGTCTAGTTTCTATGGGAAGATATTTTCTTTTTCAACATAGGCCTCAAAGCGCTCCAAATGTCCACTTCCAGGTAGTGCACAGAGTGTTTCAAACCTGCTCTATAAAAGGGAACATTCTACTCTGTGACTTGAATGAAGACATCACAAAGCAGTTTCTGAGAATGCTTCCGTCTAGATTTTATATGAAGATATTCCCGTTTCCAAGGAAATCTTCCTAGCTATCTAAATATCAAATTGCAGATTCTACTAAAGGAATGTTTCCAAAATGCTGTATCCACACAAAGGTTCAACTCTGTTAATTGAGGACATACAGCACAAAGAAGTTTCTGAGAATGCTTCTGTCTAGATTTTATATGAAGATATCCCGTGTCCAACGAAATCCTCAAAGGTAACAAAATATCCACTTGCAGATTCTACAAAAAGAGTGCTTCAAAACTGCTCTGTCAAAAGGAAGGTTCAACTCTGTTACTTGAGTACACACATCACAAGGAAGTTTCTGAGAATTC